>NC_000003.12:106735877-107038907 GCF_000001405.40 Homo sapiens | reverse complement strand
GTGGTCAATTTTAGAAAAAGTGCGATGCAGTGCTGAGAAGAATGTATATTCTGTTGATTTGGGGTGGAGGGTTCTGTAGATGTCTATCACGTCCACTTGGTCCAGAGCTGAGTTCAAGTCCTGGATATCCTTGTTAATTTTCTGTCTCGTTGATCTGTCTAATATTGACAGTGGGGTGTTAAAGTCTCCCATTATTATTGTGTGGGAGTCTAAGTCTCTTTGTAAGTCTCTAAGAACTTGCTTTGTTAATCTGGCTGCTCCTGTATTGGGTGCATATATATTTAGGATAGTTAGTTCTTCTTGTTGCATTGATCCTTTTACCATTATGTAATGCCCTTCTTTGTCTCTTTTGATCTTTGTTGGTTTAAAGCCTGTTTTTAACAGACGCCCCACCCTGCTTCGGCTTGCCCTCCATGGGCTGCACCCATTGTTTAACCAGTCCCGATGAGATGAACTGGGTACTTCACTTGGAGATGCAGATATCACCGGTCTTCTGCATCGATGTCGTTGAGAGCTGCAGACCGGAGCCATTCCTATTTGGCCATCTTGCCAGCAACCTGAACTTTTTTTCATATGATTGTTGGCTGCATGTATGTCTTCTTTTGAAAGGTATCTGTTTATGTCCTTTGCCCTCTTTCTTAATGGGGTTATTTTTTTCTTGTAAATTTAAGCTACGTATAGATGCTGTATATTAGACTTTGTTGGATGCATAGTTTGCAAAAATATTCTCCCATTTGGTAGTTTGTCTGTTTACTCTATTGAAAATTTATTTTGCTATGCAGAAGCTCTTTAGTTTAATTAGATCCCATTTGTCAATTTTTGGTTTCGTTGCAATTGTTTTTGGCATCTTCATCTTGAAATCTTTGCCTGTGCCTATGTCCTGAATGGTATAGTCTAGGTTGTCTTCCAGGGTTTTTGTAGTTTTGGGTTTTACATTTCAGCCTTTAATCCACCTTGAGTTAATTTTTGTATATGATATAAAGGAGTGGTCCAGTTTTAATCTGCATATGACTAGCCAGTTATCCCAACACCATTTATTGAGTAGGGAATACTTTCCCCATTACTTGTTTTATCAGGTTTGTTGAAGATCATATGGTTGTAGGTGTGTGGTCTTATTTCTGGGTTCTCTGTTCTGTTCCATTGGTCTATGTGTCTTTTTTTGTACCAGTACCATACTGTTTTGGTTACTGTAGCTCTGTAAAATAGTTTGAAGTCAGGCAACGTGATGCTGCCAGCCTTGTTCTTTTTGCATAGGATTGCCTTGGCTACTTGGGCTCTTTTTTGGTTTCATATGAATTTTAAAACAGTTTTTTCTAGTTCTATGGAGAATCTTCATGGCAGTTTAATAGGAATAGCATTGAATCTATCAATTGCTTTGGGCAGTATGCCATTTTAATGATATTGATTCTTCCTATACAGAACATGGAATGTTTTCTCATTTGTTTATGTCATCTCTGATTCCCTTGAGCAGTGTTTTATAGTTTTCTTTGTAGATCTTTCCCCTCCCTAGTTAGCTATATTCCTAGGTATTTTATTCTTCTTATGACAATTGTGAATGGGAGTTTGTTCCTAATTTGGCTCTCAGCTTGATTGTTGTTGGCGTATAGGAGCGCTAGTGATTTTTGCATGCTGATTTTATATCCCAAGACTTTGCTGAAGTTGTTTATCAGCTTAAGAAGCTTTTGAGATGATACTGTGGGGTTTTCTAGATATAGGATCATGTCGTCTCCTAACAGGGATAGTTGAACTTCCTCCCTTCCTATTTGGAGGTCCTGTATTTCTTTCTTTTGTCTGATTGTCACAGCCAGGACTTCCAATACTATGTTGAATAGAAGCATTAAGAGAGGGCATCCTTGTCTTATGTCAGTTTTCAAGGTGAATGCCTCCAGCTTTTGCCCATTCAGTATGATGTTGGCTGTGGGTTTGTCATAGATACCCCTTAGTATTTTGAGGTTCCACATGATATTTTGATGCAGCCTAAAATGCTAAAATATTTTACTTTAAATTATTTTTGAAGGGTCAAATAACACGCACAAAGATACTTTTACTCCATTTCTGATACTCTTTCTGTTACCTCTTCCCTAAACTTCCTAGTAATGGGGTAAAGATCAAGATTGTAGAGGGCTGTGAGAGATGGAATGGACATTAACCAATGTCCATTTTTGGTTTCCCTAGATATCTCAAACTACAGAAATGATAAAGAATGAGTCAGAACAATTGCTGTAAGTTTTCCTTTACACTAATAGGGCTCAAAGGTGAACACTTGCATTATGACTAAAACCATGCCTCACTAAGAATTTAAGTATAATTGGCACCAGGATGAATGTCCCACATCTAGAGACTTCCTTGACTCTGTGGAGAGAGGTCAAGAGAAACTTCCAGATACCTACCCCTCCTTACCTCTAAACTCAGGTCATCACCCACACTATCTACCTTGAATCTACCAGGATAAATCTTATGCCTTCTATCCCTGATTTGTCAGACACTAAAGGAAGCCCCCAAACCAGTCATTCTTCATCTCTAGCACTCCTGTAAGGCTTTGCATGACCATAGTTTCCCTTTTCCTGCCTATCTTCAACTCCTGAAACATTTCCATTGTGTTCCCCAGAAATCAGGGTCCTGCAACAGGAAATACTCCATATGTGACCACCGTCTTACAGAAACATTTAAATCACTTGTTTTGCTCTAATGGAAGCCTGTTTCTCCACACCTCTACTCTATGAATCCTTAAAACACGACTTCCACTTTAGCTCTCTCAACTATTGATAGTTTTCTTTCTTAGATCTCATACTCCTGGAACTTGGGTAGAGTTTTATGTCATCAGCTTATGTTGTCATCTGCTTATTCACTCGCTATCATTTTATTGTCATCTCAACCTCTGAGTTGTTCGCCTTCTTTCATGGATTTTTTATTTTTATTTTTTTAAGATGGAGTCTCACTCTGTCGCCCAGACTGGAGTGAGGTGGTGCGATCTCAGCTAACTGCAACCTCTGCCTCCCAAGTTCAAGTGATTCTCCTCCCACAGCCTCCCAAGTAGCTGGGATTACAGGCACGCACCACCTCTTCCAGCAAATTTTTTTGTATTTTTAGTAGAGACGGAGTTTCACCATGTTGGCCAGGCTTGTTTCGAACTCCTGACCTCAAGTGAGCTGTCTACCTTCGCCTCCCAAAGTGCTAGGATTACAGGCATGAGCCACTGTGCCTGGCCCTTCTTTCATAGATTTAAGCAACTAACTACCTGACACTTTTATCAACATCATTCCTGCCCTATTCAATTTTAATTTGATGATCCTTTCAACATTCTGTTCTCCAATGATCTTGTTCTTTATCTTATTTTATCTCTCACTCATGTGCTATTATTCTAAACCATGTCGTTACCAATAATTACAGCCCAACCAATATATTAATTTTTGGCATTTTGCTCTCTGACTAGGCTTGAATTCTATGGGCAATCATTATAGATGCTTCTTGCACACATGCTCCATTCTTTTGTTCCTCTCTTACTTCATCGAACTTACTTGGATAAACCACAACCCTAGTTAAAAGAGCTCTTTGTCTCCTTCATGCCTGCTCCTGTTCACTGACTGGAGAGAAATACCTAAATGTGCTCAATGGTCACATTTTAAATTCATGGTCATGAACATCAAATGAGTTTTTAATGCTATCTGGCAAACATAATGAATTTTCCTGGACTACTGTGGACTCCTATGCTTCTATTTCATGCTCTCTCCTCTTTCCTCAAACCTCTTAAGCCTTGCTCTCCATTTGCAATCTCAACTAATGATATTGGTCCCTATTTTACTGAGAAAGTGTAAACACCCCTAAACGAACTTCTGAGGACTCCCACAACTGCATCTAGTCATCGAATAGCTTTTGCACTAACATTTGTTGCCTTTGTGCTTATATCTGGGCTCTGATCTAAAGCCAATCCTTCCACTTGTTTACCAGATTCCATTCTTGTTTCCCTATTTGATTCTCTTTCCTCTTGGAACCTCAAAAGTGCACTTTAGCAATTATCTACATTCTTTTATTTTTTAAAAAAGCAATTATATTGAGATATAATTTATATTCAATAAATTGCAGATGTTTGAAATGCACAAACTGATTAGTTCTGGTATTGCAGACATCATGAAACAATTCCCATTATTTAAGATAATGAACTTACCCATCACTCTCAAAAGTTTCCTCATGTCCCACTGAAATCCTTCCCTTTTCATCCCTACCCACTTTCCTATCTCTAGGTGACCATTGTTTTGTTTTCTGCTACTACAGAGTATATTTCTTTTTCTAGAATTTTGTATGAATGGAATAATACAATATGTACTCTAGTTTGTCTGGCTCTTTGAACTCAACATATTAATTGATGGTATGTAAATGAATAGTTTATTCCTTTATATTGCTAAATAGTATTCCGTGTATAGCTACACCAAAATCTGTTTATCTATTAATCTTGTCAATTTCTACAAAATGGATCCGTTCTAAGGAAATTGCCGTCTTAAAAATATTGAAGTTTTTGACACATGAATATGGTTTAACTCCATTTACTTAGGTTTTCTTTCATTGTCAGCAATATTTTATACTTTTGAATGTATAGGTACTACACATTTTTGTTAGTTTTATTCCTAAGTAGCTTGTATGTTTTGTGTTATAAATGGTACATTTTTAGGTACCAATTGTTCATTACTAGTATTTAGAGATAAAATTGATTTTGCATATTGATCTTGAACCCTGCATTCTTGCTGAACTCACTTATCAGTTTTTGTATCTTTTTTGCAATGTTTCATAAAATTTTCTATGAAGATGACCATGTCAGCTGTAACTAATGACAGTTTTACTTTTTTTTTTTTTCAATAGGGCTGCCATTTATTTATTTATTTGCTTGCTTTATTGCACTGGATAGAACCTTCAGTATAATGTTGAATAGAAGAGATGTGAACAGACATCCTGGTCTTATTCCTGCTCTTAGGAGAAAAGCAAACATCTTTTTACCATTTAATATGATGTTAGCTGTAGATGTTTCATAGATGCCTTTTATCAGTTTGAGGAAATACCCTTCTGATTCTAGTTTGGTGAGACTTTTTATCAAGAATGGATGACATATTATGTCAAATGCTTTTTCTTTGACTATTGAGATGATCATGTGGTTTTCAATTTTAGTTGGTTGCTATGGTGAATTACACTGATTGACTTCTTCTTTTTTTTTTTTTTTTTCCTTTCTTTTTTTGAGATGGAGTCTCTCTCTGTGGCCCAGGCTGGAGTGCAGTGGCGTGATCTCAGCTCACTGCAACCTCCGCTTCCCGCATTCAAGCAATTCTCCTGCCTCAGCCTCCCGGGTAGCTGGGACTATAGGCACCCGCCACCACGCCCAGCTAATTTTTGTATTTTTAGTAGAGACGGAGTTTCACCATGTTGCTCAGGCTGGTCTCGAACACCTGACCTCAAGTGATTTGCCCACCTCGGCTTCCCAAAGTGTTGGGATTACAAGTGTGAGCTACCATACCTGGCCTACATTGATTGACTTCTGAATGATTGAATCAATCTTGCATGTCTGTGATAAAACTCACCTGATTATGATATTGTTCTTTCTATATATTGTAGGAAGTAATTTGCTGATATTTGTCAAAAATTATTGTATCTGTGTTTGTAAACAATCTTGTTCTGTAATTTTCTTTTCTCATAATGTATTTATCTGGTTTTGGTATCTGTATAAAGCTGGCTTCATAGAATAAGTTAAGAGGTATTGACTCTCCTTTAAATTTGTGGATGATTCATGTAAAAATGATATTACTTCTTTCTTAAATATTTGGTAGAATTCTCCAATGAAACCATCAGGTCCTGAAGTATTCTTTGCTGGAAGGTCTTCAACAACAAATTCAATTTTTAAAATATGTATAGGGCTTTTCAGAATATATATTGCTTCTTGAGTAAGATCTGGTAGTTTGTCTTTCAAGATATTTTTATTTAATCTAAGTTGTTGAGTTTATTGGCATAAAGTTAATATTTCCATATTATGATCTTAATAGCAGTATAATTTATAACTTATCACCTCTGTCATTCCTGGTATTTATAATTTGTGTCTTCTCTTTTCCCTAATCAGTATGGCTAGAGGTCAATTAATGTTATTAACCTCAAAGAATAAGTTTTTATTTTATTGATGTATATTGTTTTCTGTCTTCTGCTTTATTTATTTCTGTGCTAATCTGTACTACTTCCTTTCCCTTGGTTCTTTGGGTTCACTTTGCTCTTCATTTTCTAGATTCATATGTAGAAGCTGAGGTCAATGATTTAATATCTTCTAAGTTGTGCATTAGGGCTGTAACTTTTTTCTACATACTGCTTTAGTGGCATTCCTTAAATTGTAATGTGTTGTGTTTTCATTCATTTCAGAATACTTTCAGTTTTTTAAAAATTTAATTTTTATTTTAAATTCAAGGGTACATGTGCAAGTTTGTTAGAAGAGTATATTTTGTGATGCTGCAGTTTGGGCTTCTATGGATCTCATCACCCCGATAGTGAACAGCATACTCAAAAGAAAGTTTTTAAGTCCGTACTCCTCTCCCTCTTTTCTAAGCCCCCATTGTCTATTGTTTCCATCTTTATGTGGGCACCCAGCCTGTTTCCATGACTTTGCTATTGTGAATGGTGTTGTGAAAAATACATGAGTGCAGGTATTTTTGGGGTAGAAAAATTTATTTTTCTTTGGGTATATACCCAGTAAGGGGATTGCTGGATCAAATGCTAGTTCTATTTTTAGTTCTTTGAGAAATCTCCACACTGCTTTCTACATGGGCAGAACTAATTTACATTCCCACCAACAGTGTATAAGAATTCCCTTTTCTCTGCAGCCTCACTAACAGTTTTTTTTTTTAAACTATAAACATTCTGTCTTGTGTGAGACAGTATCGCATTGTGGCTTTGATTTTTATTTCTCTGATGAGTAGTGACTTTGAGCATTTTTTCATATGCTCTTTGGCCGCTTGTGTGTCTTCTTTTGATGACTGTCTGTTTGTGTCCTTTGCCTACTTTTTAATTGGGTTGTTTGTTTTTTTCTTCTTGATTTGTTTAAGGTTTTTTTTTTTTTTTCACATTGGCTTTGGAAACTCTGATAACTATGTGCCTTGGGGATGGTCGTCTTGTATGATATCTTGCAGTAGTTCTCTGAGTTTCTTGAATTTGCATGTTAACCTCTGTAATGAGATCGGGACATTTTCATAGATTATATCCTCAAGTATGTTTTCCAAATTGCTTACTCTCTCTTCTTCTCTCACAGGAATGCTAATGAGTAACAGGTTTGGTCACTTTGCATAATCTCATATTTCTTGGATGCTTTGATCATTTTTTAAAATTCTTTTTTTTGTGTTGTTGTTGCCTGACTGGGTTGATTTGAAGGACTGATCTTTGAGCTCTGGAATTCTTTCCTCTGCTTGGTCTAGTCTGCTATTAAGGCTTTAAACTGTATTTTGAAATAACTATAGCGATTTTTTCAATTCCTGAAGCTCTGTTTCGTTCTTTCTTAATATAACTATGTGGTCTTTCAAATCTTGGATGGCTTTTCTGGCTTTATTGGATTGGATTTCAACTTTCTCATGGATCTCATTGCTTCTTTGCCATCCAGATTCTGAATTCCATGTCTGTCACTTCAGACATTTCAATCTGGTTAGCATCCATTACTAGGAATCTAGTGTGATCCTTTGGACATGATTAAATGCTCTGGCTTTTTGAATTGCCTGAGTTCTTGCTCTGATTCCTTCCCATCTGAGAGAGCAGTCACTTCTTTTTCTTTTGGAATTTGCTGTTGTTTGGATGGGGTTGTTTGTTTTTATACTTTTTTTCCCTTAAGGGTTTGACTGTGGTGTATGTTTTATTTAGTCCATTGGCTTTGCTTCTGGGTACTTGCAGAGGGCCAAGGCTCTGTATGGTTTCCATGGTAGTAGATAGGGTTCTGCAGTGGGTTTCACAGGTGTTGTATGCTGAAACAATGTATTTTTGTTTGGTGGTGTAATTTAGGCTGCAGCTCAGTAGATGGTGCATAAGAGAGGGCCAGCCAATAGGCTTTTACCTGCACTCACCCTTCCTTTTGTATTTCAGTGCTCTGGGGAGCGGGGCAAGAGATGACTCCCTCTCCCAGTCTGTTCCTAGGCCTTGGTGCTATCCTCTTCAACTGCACCACTGTGCTAAGTTTTCTTTGCCCCAAAGGGGACTTTGGTGGGCTGCATCCCCTCTTTCCCTAGGGGTGGTTCGTGCTGAAGGTTAGGTTGCCAGGAGGCCCGTGACTCTCCAGTGATTCACCAGTTCCCTGTGCTTGCAGGAGTCAGAGTGCGTGCATTGTTGGGTATGGCTGCAGGTGGTCTGTTGATGCAGTGGGTCAATGGTGGAGGATCCCCAGGCAGAACAGTGATGCTGTGAGTGTGCAACCAGTATGCTGCCCACAGCCTGGGGTTTTCAGAAACATTGAACTACTCAAATATTTCTCAATATGCCTTGATCTTCAGCATCTCATTTCCTTGTACATGCTGTTCCCTTTCATTGACATGCCCTTCCTTGTTCGTCATCCACTTCTTAGTCTAGGCCATCAGAGCCACATATACACATCCGACTCCCTCAATGAAAATTGGTTTTCTCTTCATACATGCTTTTAGTATATTTAACATTCGAATCTAATTGTTTGATTATGCATCTCTTTTCACATATAGCTGTGATCAATGAGAAATATTTGATTTGTGCTTTTTATTTTATTTTTTTAATGTACCTAGTAACTAGCATATTATTTGGTACACTATAGTGAAGTTGTTAAGAAATTATTTGGGATGATAAAACAAGATGATGAGGGAATGAGTTGCAGTGGCGGAGGATGGAAGAGAGAAAGAGAGAGAGTGTGTGTGTGTGTGTGTGTGTGTTTGTGTCTGTGTGTGTCTATGAGCACATGTATGTGGCAGAAGGGGAGTTAATCAGTTGGATGTGAGTCATGAAGGAGATAGAGGAATTAAGGATGTCATTTAGGTTTTAGCTTGGTCCTTTGGATAAATATTCCAGCCACCAGGAAGACTAGAGGCTGTGGTGGACACAAAAATAGTCTATTCTCCTTTAGGAGACAGTGGAAAAATATCCCTGAAATGTTTTATGTACTCTCTCACTTATAAAGGAAAATATGATGCCTGCGTGCTTGTTCTTACCTGGTACATGAGTCCAATTCTGAGTCAACTAAGTGTTGAAAAAAATACTTTTTCCAGTATTGGGTTATCCTTAATTGTGCACAATATTGTACATCCACTGACAATCTAGCCACATTTACAGTCATTAATATCTTTAGAAAATTTATAACTGCTAAATTGAACAGTTTTTGTATAAAAGAATTCTAAATTGGCAATGTGATAGCTTGGGTGACAGAATATAGTTTAATAAATCACCCGTGGTTCTATAGATGCTGAGTGAGAATAATTGATCTGAAGGAAATCTAGAAGTTTCACTTTGGAAACCAGTTCACTTTGAGGCTTTTATTTTGGGTCACAGTGGTGCATTTCAGAGGAGTAATATAAAATTAAGTAACAGTGGACATTCTTGTTTCTTCTTTCTTCAGTTGTAATCTGCTCTATTGTATGATGGGTAATCATCATATATAATCACAAATAAAGTTTCTGGTTGGAGTTGAATCACACAAACTCCAAATCCACCGTGAAATTCTGGAAGAAGATTCTCAAATATAAAATAAAGGGGCAAGCATATTAGGATTTATCAATTTTATTAGTGTCTATTAGCTATGCTGAATATATCAATGAGAGAAGAATCTATATTGAAACAGACTCTTTATAAATCTCCATTGCTTTAAATAAATAACATACATGAATTAATATTGGACCTGTCTTAGGAATTATGGGTAAAGTGTATTCTGGCTTATGTAACAGGGCATGTATGTCTTGAACTAAGGTATTTGGAAACATCTTCCACAATTGTGTCATATGGAAATCAGGAAAACTAATATCTTTTTACTCATTATGATGCTACTGTTTTGAAGACAAAAGGAACTATCTTTGAAAGAGAAAGAATACTTCATTTGTACATGTGGGAAAGAAATACTTCCATTCTTCTCTATGTACTTAGAAGCTTCTATTTCTGTTTACCTCTTCTTATATCCAACCTCATGAGAGAAGACTATGCATTGAGTCATATTTGACAAGTGGGTGGACCACTGTGTTACAACGCAGACAGTTGTGCTCAATTCTCTTCTAATAGCAGGGTGGAATAATGGATTTAAGTCAGTTCTTGCTATTTTCAGTCTTTTACTCTCTGTTTAATTATCACCACCTTTGTGATTATAGGGGACAGGTCATTGAGGCAGGGTCCATTCTATAAACCAAACTGACATGTTTGATGCCATTCTTCCTCGTAGCATGTAGATTACAATTAATGGAGTTAGAACTGTCATGTTGTTGAAAGAGTATTTCGAGAAGTTTTTTTTCTTTTTCATATGAATATGCCTTTTCACAGAGAACACACACTCATGAAGATGCACAAAACACAGGCAGTCTTTTGATCCTCTCTAGATACAATATAGAAAAAGGGACAGATTTCTAAACAAAGATGAGAGCAGAGGATTCTATTTGTCACCATTCTAGGCAGTGTGTGGTGCAGGCTGATGGCAAAGAATAGGCATCTTGTTTTAGCAGCCTGAGAGTTCCAAAGCAAACTAGAGGAGGGAAACAACATTGGTCTTTATAAGTACAACATATCTATTCTGTATCTATTCTATTGCTGGAGGCAATTTTGAAGGTAATGGTATTTGTTTGGGATTAACAGCATCAATTTCAAAAGTGATATCTGGTTCCTTATACTGTTTTAGGGGATAGTATTAAGAAAACATGCCTTAGATTCAAATCCTTGGTTCCAGTCTGAGATTTTCTGTTTATTAGCTGTTGACTCAGTTTCTTTCATTTTTAAAAGAAAATTTCAATAGCTTTTGGGGTACAAGTGGTTTCTGGTTACATGGATGAATGTTATAGTGATGAAGTCTGAGATTTTAGTGTACCCGTCACCTGAGTAGTGTACATTATACCCAGTATGTTGTTTTTGTTAATCTGTCCCCCCTTTTCTGAGGCTCCAATGTCCATTATATCACTCTGTATGCCTTTGTGTACCCATAACTTAGCCCTCACTTATAAGTGAGAACATACGGTATTTGGTTTTCCAATACTGAGTTATTTCACTTATAATAATGACCTCCAGCTCCAACCAAGTTGCTGCAAAATACATTATTTCATTCTTTTTTATGGATGAGTAGTATTCCATGCTGTATGTATACCACATTTTCTTTATTCACTCACTGGTTGATCGGCACTTAGATTGGTTCCATATCCTTACAGTTGTGAATTGTGCAGTATAAACTTATGCTTGCAGGTGTCTTTTTGATAATAATGACTTTTCCTTTGGGTATATAGCCAGTAGTAGGATTTGTCCATCAAATGGAAGATCTACTTTTACTTCTCTGAGAAATCTTCATACTGCTTGCTACAGGGGTTGGGCTAATTTATATTCTCCCCAACAGTGTATAAGCTTTTCCTTTTCACCATATCCACACCAACAGCTATTGTTCTTTGACTTTTTAGTAATGGCCATTCTGGCTAGGGTAAGATGATATATCATTGTGGTTTTAATTTGTGTTTCCCTGATGACTAGTGATGTTGAGCATTTTTAAATGTTTCTTTGCCATTTGTATGTCTTCTTTTGAACAATGTCTATCCATGTCATTTGCCCACTTTTTGATGGGACTATTTATTGCCAACAACAATAAAAAGCCCGTGGCCAGATAGATTCACAGCTGAGTTCTACCAGACATTCGATAGTTTTAGTAGGTGCCAGTCCTATTGAAACTATTACAAAATATTGAGAAAGAGAGAATCCTCCCTAACTCATTTTGTGAAGCCAATATCACTCTGATACCAAAGCCAGGAAAGGACCTAACAACAACAAAAAAAAAACCCAGACAGACGAATATCCCTGATTAACATAGATGCAAAAATTCTCAACAAATTACTAGCTAACCAAATCCAACAGCACATCAAAAATATAATTCACCATGATCTAGTTGGTTTCATTCCAGGGATACAGGGATGGTTCAATATACACCAGTCAATAAATGTATGCGTAATTCCCTCGGGAATGGCTTAGAAAGAATAGGTGATTGGCAGGACAAGATTTAGTAATTTCTGGGTCTCTGGAAGTAACTACATCTATTTCAATTCAGTAACTTCTAACTCAACTTCTAAAAGAACTAGTTATTTCTATTAGCAATTTGAAGACTACTTGCATCATCTGTGAAGTTTACCATAATGTCTTGCATATGGTCAGTGCACAGTAACTACCTGGAATGAGTGAGTAAATCCTAGAACCCTCTCTGTTTATGAGGAAGTGAGTTGTGACACAGAGAGGTGAGAGATTAGCCAAACACCACACAGTTAGGTACCAACAGACCAAGATTAGAATCCACCCGTTCTGGTGGCATCGCAGACCATTACTTTTAAAATGGTTTGCACTGCTTCTTGAATTGTTTTTGTATTACTTTAAAATGATAACTCTTCTCAAGGGTGCAGAATAAACATTATCCACCTACCTACAAAGCTACTAGAGCTGAGAAATCAAATGACAGCTTTGAGATACTGAGTATTGTGTGTAATCAAATTCTACTTTGGATGCCAGAAATCAGAAACCAAGAGGCAGCTCTTCTGAATAACACATTCATGTAAACGACACTGCCAGTTCCTGGCACATGGTAGTTATAGGCACGTATATCAATTCTTGCTGATTTTATCTTGATTTCTTAGGCGTTTAAGGGTGGTAAGTAATCATGAGAATGGCTAACTCAAAGCACAAAGGGTTCCTTCTGATAAAAGCACTCATGGCCTAAATACTTTAGCAGGATTTACTCAGAAGGAGAAATTTTTGAATAGTTTGAATAATTAGCACTGAACATTGACCTAATTTTTAAGAAAAAAATTCTAAAATATTAGAAAAATACTGTAGGTTTATGTATAACCAAATATGTATCTGGTTATAATAATATGTTTTATAAATTCAAAGAAACTTTAGGAATTCAGGCTAACTAGAGTTTAAAAAACATATTTTCTAAATTCATAGGATTCAAACTACCAATAGAAATATTTTTTCCTTCTCTTATAAGATGTCACAATAAAACCGTTTGAATTAAAAATCTGGAATGTGAATTGTTTTCACTTTCGAAGAATGATAATTTCAGCATCATTTCAGAAGACACTTAGTTGTAACCCTTGAAGCATCAACGTGTTAAATTACATTTTAATAGGATTTAGTTTCAAAATGAAATACCTATGCTATTATTATATTTAATACTATAATATCAACTCCTCAAGGTTATAAGCTATTGTTTAATCACTTAAAAACATTCTATTAATGCTTGATATTGCCAGGGCAGTGTATGGAGATACAAGAACAAGTAAATCTCAAATTCTGCCCTCTGTCAGTATGGTGAGATGAGTAAATGAGTAAATAAGTAAACACCAGACAGTGTGATTTACATAAGAGTAGTGGTAAGTGCAAGGCACTCTAGAAGCATAAAGAAGATTATGAACAGGAAATATTTCTTGGGGTACACAGCTCTTCTAGAGTCTCTTTTTGAATACCCTTTAAATACAGTATCAGATATGCCTCATGCATGTCTTAGAAATCATTATATGCAAATATTTAAGGATAAAATATTAGCTTCCAAGTACTTAATCATCCGGAAGAAAATAGAGCACATCTAATTTAGTAAATGTTTGAACAGAATCTTGTTGCCATTTGTGAGGAAATTTGCTCTGGGAGAGTATGTGTGAATTACTACTGGAATGTGCTTCTTCCTTCTAGCCTTCCGTAGTGCTTTCTGTAGTTCTATATCTGGAAGGCTAATCTTCTCTCTAGGCTTTGCTGAACAGATAATAAAATTCTCTTCTTCTTAAGCTGAATGCTTCATCCCAGGAAATACCAGGAGAAACAGCAAACATATCCCACATTACATTCTGTCACAGTAAATCTTTAAGTGCAGTTTAATTTCTCTCTTTTTATGTGTAGGTTTTTTTTTTAAAGGTGTATTTTAAATCATCACATTAGATTTTCAATGGGGAGGAGGAAAAAAAAGAGAAAAGGAAATGGATAGTTGCAGATAGAGTTGGGGAGAAGAACTTGATTATCTCTGAATTGCAGCCTCTGCTGATGCAGACAGATGATCCGCATGTGTTGTGTGCTCTGCAGAGCCCTGGAGAGCTGCCAGTCGTGATCCACCTTAATATTTAATAGACATTTGTACAGAAACACTGCATGAAAGATGTTAATTGCTCATGACATTTTATTTTTTCTTTTTTTATTTAGCAGGCTGCTCATCATAAAACAAAGAATGTTGTTTGGCTAGGTTGAAATTTTTAACGTTCAGCTCTTAAATTTTTCTATGAGATAATTTTTCCTGTGACAAGTTAGTAATAAATACTTTGTGCTTGTAACATGCCTCACTCCAAAGACATCAAAGTCATCATCAGAAAGTCACTGATATTTGGAAAGAATTCCAGGGCCTTTGTACTCTGCACTCTGCTCAGTTCTCCTGGAAATGCTGCTCCAAACAGTGAGTCTGAGCTATAGGGAAACTCTCTTTTCTGTACCATGTTTCTTGAAGTCTTGCTCAGTTATTCTGTGGCAAACATCTTAAGTCCTGAAGGCTCACAGTCCTTCTGGTTCTATCACAATCACTGAATGATTTTTTATGTTCTCTTTAAATTTCATTCACAAATCAGTTTTAGTTTGGAGAGTATTATGCACAATATCTGTATAGAAGCACCAAATAAAACGATTTCTAATAACTTCTTAAGGATTACAGCAAAAAGAGAAGTGATACCTGGTGGTAAATAGCGACAGGATGTATTTTACTAGACAGTTCTTCTGTAATAGTGACTTTTTTTGACCCCTCATAGCATCATCCATGTTTTATAATTCTATGTTCCTTCTTTTTTTTTTTGAGACGGAGTCTTGCTCTGTTGCCCAGGCTGGAGTGGCGCGATCTCGGCTCACTGCAAGCTCCGCCTCCCGGGTTCACACCATTCTCCTGCCTCAGCCTCCCGAGTAGCTGGGACTACAGGCGCCCGCCACCACGCCCTGCTAATTTTTTTGTATTTTTAGTAGAGATGGGGTTTCACCGTGTTATCCAGGATGGTCTTGATCTCCTGACCTTGTAATGCACCTGCCTCAGCTTCCCAAGGTATTCAGATTACAGGCGTGAGCCACCGTGCCCGGCCAATTCTATGTTCTTTTAATGCAACATGCTATAGCCTCTGATTTTAATGTGTTTCTTTTCACTGCTTTGAAGTCTTTTTCTTTTTTTCTTTTTTTTTTTTTTTTGGTCTATTCAAAAGTTACCTCCTCTGAAAAGTTTTTCCAGACCTGACCACAAGGCTCAATTTATTATTTTTCTATTCTAGCCTAAATGTTTTCTCAAGTGTAGTAGTGCCTATCCATGGTACTGTAATTATTTGTATACATGTTTGTCTCTCTTACCATGCTATGAATGCTTTGAAGAGAGATCATCTCTTACTGTTTTCTGAATTTTTATTGTCTAACAGGGCTGGACCCATACAAAGTGCTCATAAGGGTTTGTTGAAAAATGCTTTTTTATAAATTACCAAAAGTTTCTACAGAATTAAAAATGGCAACAGATGTTTAATTTCAAATAGGTTCCTCTCTGCTTTCACCAAATCAGCGTCGGTTCAAAAGACATGTTATTGTCCGTGCTTTAAAAATAACTAAACCATTTCTTGTATTAAATTTACATGAGCATTTGAGAAAGAAACAGGAAAAAGGGAATAACCTATACATATAAAAATTAGATAAATAATTATGGAACAATGTTAACTTTATAAAGTGAATTTGCTGTGTTAAAGTGAAACATTTTAGGAGTTTAAACAGAAAAAAAATGCTTTCTTATGAAAGGCCAATACGGTGTTTCAATTTCTGGAAACTTCTACAAATATGTTAAATGTAATCCTTTGCAATGTTGCCCCTGGAGTAATATAGTCACTTGTTTTCTTTTGTATGTTGGACTAGGCTCTTAATTTTATATCTTGTTTTGTCTCCTTGAATGTTATAGCCCACAGTCCAATCTTCAAGAGAACATGAATATAACCTTCCTGTTCTTCCTTACTCCGTAGAACCTCGAGGCAGTTTTCTAACAAAATTGTTCAGTGAATTGCTTTAGGCCACAGAGCAAGTAAATTGTAATAAAGGGAAAAGAGTTCAGATGTCTGATTTCTCTGCAACCCCATCTACTCTATGAAGATTATAATATTCTATCATGAGACCACATATTTCATAATGGTCTGTAAAAGAGTGTAGATTTTCTGAGGTGGTGTGATTCTCCATAAAGAGATAAACTTCACATAAATAACAGACCCTTAATATAATCTACATGAAATGAAGAGCTTTAAAAATGTTTATCCCCGGCGGGGCACGGTGGCTGTAATCCTAGCACTTTGGGGGGCCAAGGTGGGCGGATTACCTGAAGTCAGGAGTTTGAGACCAGCCTGACCAACATGGCAAAACCCTGTCTCTACTAAAGATACAAAAATTAGCCAGGCGTGGTGGTGGGTGCCTATAATCCCAACTACTCGGGAGGCTGAGGCAGGAGAATTGCTTGAACAGGGGAGGCGGAGGCTGAGTGAGCCGAGATCGCGCCATTGCACTCCAGCTTGGGTGACAAGAGCGAAACTCCGCCTGGAAAAAAAAAAAATGTTTATCCCCAGTAAACCCATTCCTGAAACTCTTTTAAGAAAGTTATCAAAGATTCGTACTGAAGAACTTCATGTCATTATCTTAGTAAAGAATGAAAACTATTATATGTTCAACAATGTAGACTGTAAATAAGTCACAGTACACCTATATGATGAAATATAAAACAAAAATTTAGGTGTTGGAAGATTTTTATAAAGGCATTGGAGAATGGCCACGAAATAACATTACATAAAGAAAGACAAGAACAAGTTGATATATAAAAAGAAAGAAAACATGTAATTTTTTTAGCAAAATGTATATGTGCATACACACATACACATTAGAATAAAAATGGAAAAATTAGAATAAAAATGAAAAAAATAGAATTAAGACCAATTTTCTTTGAAATTTTTCTTATCCCATAATAAGCATATATTGCTATGAAATGAGAAAAAAAGGAATTTTGCAAGGTACCAAGTTACAGATTAAACATAAGATCTATTGGAATTTTACTGTAGGATACTATGATTTAGGGTAGACTCAGTGAATTATAGAGACTTGTTATAAATTATGTCTTGCCTCATGGTATCCTAGAATATGTAAGTAGATTTAACTTGATGATTATGGGCTGTGCATCAAAATAAGTTGGATGGAGAAAAACTTTTAGAAACATTCCTGTAAGTATTCATCTCAGTTCTCTTGCATGTGTGCATCCGGGAATGTGAATGTGGAATCCAGCTTATATATTTTGACAAGTTTTCTCCAGGTAATTCAGATACACATAAGTGATTATATTTTACTACCTTGGTTTGAAATAATGAGATTGAATCCTGAATCAAGCTTAAAAAGAAGAGGTGAGAATGGATGAAGAGGAAACATTTAACTTCTGGTAGAAAGATAAGTGAAGTGCTCATAGCTCTCTGAAGAGGAAGATAATCATGAAACAGGTTTGCTGGTATAGATTACCAGCAAAATCTATCTGTTACAAAAGATATACAAGAGTAGTTGGTATCTTACTGCTTTTTTAAACTCCTGAACTGAGGGTAGGGAAAGGGAAATGAACAGAAATAGTGTCTTTTGGGGTTATGACCTGAGAAATAGACTTCAGTCATTATAAAGACATGCATACCTAAATTGGCAGGCTAATTTAATCAATAATTCTGTCCTTTCCAGAGCAATACACACAGATTAAAAAGCTTTAATTCAGCCAGGCGTGGCAGCTCACACCTGTAATCCCAGCACTTTGGGAGGCCAAGGTGGGTGGATCCCTGAGGTCAGGAGTTCGAGACCAGCCTGGCAAACATGATGAAACCCCGTCTCTACTAAAAATACAAAAATTAGCCGGATGTTGTGGGGGACACCTGTAATCCCAGCTATTTGGGAGGCCAAGGCAGAAGAATTGCTTGAACCCAGGAGGCGGAGGTTACAGTGAGCTGAGATTGCATCATTGCACTCCAGCCTGGGCAACAAGAGTGAAACTTCATCTCAAAAAAATGAAATAAAAAAGGCTTTAATTCCTATTACTCCCTCTCATTTTACATGGTACTATTTTTGGTATTTTATTTTTATCTAGCTTTTATATCCCACAATTTTTTATTTTCTTAGCATCAGTGTTTGTTCAGATTGCTCCAAAAGTTTGGCAGTTTATTTATACACAGGGGTATCTTTCAACCTATTTTCTTTTTTCATTCAATTATCTCCTGTTAAAAATTCAGTGATTCACTTACTGAGAGTATGACTGATAAATTCTGTCATGCTCTGATTGTTTTAAAATGCCTCTATTTTACCCTCACTCTTGAATATGTAAAAACAAAATATGAGTGGATGTTTGTTTAGAATATGTTATAACAATAAGATGTTTTATGGAAGCCTCATGGTTACCACAAAGAAAATACCAGCAGAGGATACACAAAAATAAGTGAGAAAGTAATCAAATTATGTCACTACATAAAGATCAATGAAACATAAAGGAAGACAGCAAGAGAGGAAAAGTCTAGGTGGAGTTTGCCATGCTTCCATGGTTTTTTCACTCTGTGCACTTACAGAGTTAGCGCTGTGCAGACACCATCATGGTTTATGGCCTGTACCTTTCGGAGTAGTGACCTAAGCCATACCTGGGTCCATTGGTGGCATTGTTAGGGCAGTCAAGAAGTGATGCACCAGAATGCAGGGAGCAGAGACTGGAGTGGCCCTGGGCAGTGAGCCTTATGTTCCCACAGGTACCCTGGACCTCTCCCTTGAAACTGTTAGGCCTTTGAAGCCCTAGCACACTGGGCTTGTTCAGCCTCAAAAAATCTCTAAACTGCCTTTGGGGTCATTCTTTCATTGTATTGTTGAATAGCATCTGGCTTCCTTCCATCCATACTACTTAAAAAAAATCTTTTTTTTGAGACATCGTCTTGCTCTGTCACCAAAACTGGAATTCATTGTTCTTAAATTCTGCCTTCCATAAAGTACTAGACATGGACATAATTCAGCCAAGTTATTTGCCACTTTTAAGAAGGATGGTCTTCCAGCCCTCCAGGCTGGAGTGCAGTGGTGCCATCTCAGCTCACTGCAACCTCTGCCTCCCAGATTCAAGCGATTCTCGTGCTTCAGCCTCCTGAGTAGCTGGGATTACAGGCATGTGCCACCACACCTGGCTAATTGTTGTATTTTTTAGTAGAGATGGAATTTCGCCATAGTGGCCAGCCTTTTCTAAAACTCCTGGCCTAAAGTGATGCACCCACCTCAGCCTCTTACAGTGCTGGGATTACAGGCATGAGCCACCACGTGCCCAGCCTATCCATACTACTCTTATGCCACACCTTTCGTATTGTCGAACACACCATCTTATTCTTTACAATCTGGCTAGGCTGAGAATTTTCCAAATATTTAAGTTCTGCTTCCCTTTTGTGTATAAATTATAAACAGTTATGAGAAGCCATGCAACATCTGAAATTCTTTCCTGCTTAGCAATATCTTACCAAAACTGGAATTCATTTTTTTTAAATTCTGCCTTCCATAAAGTACTAGACATGGACATAATTCAGCCAAGTTATTTGCCACTTTTAAGAAGAATGGTCTTCCTCCCTCCAGTTTCCAATAAGACATTCCATATTTCTGCCTAAGACCTCATTGAAATGGCCTTTATCATCCATGATTCTACCAGCATTCTGATCACAACTATTTACATCTCTAAGAAGAGTGTCACTCTCTCTACAGCTCTTCTCTTTTGATCCCTCACCAGAATTTCCATTAATGCTGTGCTCATGACAGTCTCGGCTGTTTTTAGCAACCTCCAAATTCTCCCAGCCTTTATCCCTTACCTAGTCCAAAGCTGCTTTCACATTTTTAGATATCTGTTGTAACAACATCGTTGGTACCACTTTCTGTCTTAGTTCATTCATGGTGCTATAACAAAATACCCAAGACTGGGTAATTTATAAACAATAGAAATTATTTTCTCACAGTCCTGGAGGCGGACTCATAATCAAGGTGCCAGCAGGTTCAGTGTCTGGCAAAGGCCTGCTTCTCGTAGATCAGGATGTCTAGGTGTCCTCACATAGGAGAAGGGATAGAAGGGCAAAAAAGGGGGCTGCATTCTCACATGAGAGGAGAGTGAAAGAGGTAAACTTGCCCCCCTCAAGTTCTTTTAAAAAGCACTAATCAATTTATGAGGGTGGCACTCTCACGGCCAAGACTCAAACAAAATCATAGATGAAACAGGAGACATTACAATAAATATCACAGAGTTTAAGAAGATGAAAAGATACTTTTATGAAAAATTTTTTGCCAACAATTTGAATAATTTAGGAGAAATAGATCAATTCCTAGAAACATAAAATCTATCAAGACTGAATCATGAAGAAACAGAAAAATCTCACTAGAAGTATAACTAGTAAGGAGATTGTACTGGTAATCAAAAATCTCCCAGCAAAGAAAAGCCCAAGATCAGTTGGCTTCCCCAGAGAATATCAAACGTTTAAAAAATAATTAATGCCAACTTTTAAAAAAAAATTGAAGTGGAGAGAACACTTTCAAACCTATTTTATGAGTCTAGCTTTGGCCTGATAACCAAGTCAGAAAAGATACTACAAGAAAATAAAACTTCAGGACAATATTACTGATGAATATAGATGGAAATATCCTCACCAAAACACTAGAAAACAAAATTTAACAGCACATTAAGATAATTGTACTTTACAACCAAGTGGGATTTATCCCTGGGATGCAAAGATGTTTCAACATATGAAAATCAATTAGTGTGATGTACCACATTAACAGAATGAAGGACGAAAATCACATGATGATCTCAATAGATGCAGAAAGAGCATTTGACAAAATTTGACATCCTTTCATGATGAAAATACTCAAAAAAATAGGAATAGAAGAAAATTAACTCAACATAAGATGAGTCATGTGTGAAATGTCCACAGCTAACATCATGCTGAATAGTAAGAAAATGGAAAGCTTTTTTTCTAAGATCATGAAGAAGACAAAAATGCCCTTTTACCACTTTTATTCAACATAGTTCTAGAAGTACTAGCCAGAGCAACTAGGCAAGAAAACATAAAAAACATAAAAAGCTTTCAAATTAGAATGGAAGAAGTAATATTATCTCTGTTTGTAGATAACATCATCATATACATAGAAAATTCCAAAGATTCCACAAAAAGCCTGTTAATACTAATAAATAAATTCAGCAAAGTTTCAGGATCCAAAATAAACATACAAAAATCAGTTGTGCCTCTATACTTTGACAAAAAACAATCTAAAAAGGAAATCAATAAAGCAATCACATTTCCAATAGCATCAAAAATAATAAAATACTTAAAAATAAATTTTATGAAGGAGATGAAAAATTTGTACACTGAAATCTACAAAACGGTGCTGAAAGAAATTAGAGAATGCAAATAAATGAAAAGACATCCATGTTCATGGATTGGAAGAACTAATATTGCCCAAATCTCCATACTACCCAAAATGGTCTATAGATTAATAAAATCCCTACCAAAGTTTCACTAGCAGTTTTTTCAAAAACGTAAAAAATAATCCTAAAATTTATGTGGAACCACAAAGGACCTTAAATAAATAAAACAGTCTTGATGAAAAAGCTGAAGCTGTTGACCTCACATATTCTAATTTTAAAACACATTATAAAGCTACAGTAATCGATATGGTATGGTACTGGAATAAATTCAGACCTATAGACCAATGCAACTAAATAAAGAGCCCAGAAATAAACCCATAAATAAACCCCTGTATATGTGGTCAAAGAATCTTCTGCAAGGGTGCCATAGAGAAAAGATAGTATTGCAAAATGATACTAAGAAAACTGGATATGCACATGTAAAAGAATGAAATTACCCTTATCTTGCACCATACACAAAAATCAACTCAAAATGGATTAAAGACTTACATTTGAAACCTAAAACTATAAAATTTCTAGAAGAAAACATCGGGAAAAACTTAGTAACATTAGTCTTGGCAATTATTTCTTAGATCTGACACAAAAAACTTAGGCAACAAAACAAAAGTGGGCAAGTGAGAGTATGTCAAGCTACATCAAAGCTAGTGCACAGAAAAGGAAAAAATAATCAGATTGAAAAGTCAACCTATGGAATGGTAGAAAATATTTGCAAAACCATGAACAGAATGAGGAATCTGTTATATCTGATAAGGGATTAAAATCCAACATATATAAGGAATTCCTACAACTCAATAGTAAAAGAACCTCCCTTCTGCCAAACACACACACACACACACACACACACACAGACACATACACACACTAAAGTAGGTCAAGATCTTTGACACATAAGTGGCCAAGAAGTATATGAAAACATGTTCAACACCATTAATCATCAGGGAAACATAAATCAAAAACACATTTAGACATCACTTATACCAGTTAGAATAAACATTACAAGAAAAATTGAAAATAGGTGTTGGTAAGAAAGTGGAGAGTTGGAATCCTTGTGCACTGTTGGTGGTAATGTAAAATCTTGCAATCACTAAAGAAACAGTATGGAGGTCCCCAAAACAATTAAAAATAGTGTTATCATATAATTGAGCAATCCCACTTATAAGTATTCATCTAAAGCAATTGGAATCAGGATCTTAAAGAAATATCTATACTCCAGTGTTTATTACAGGATTGTTTACAATAGCCAACATCAATAGGTGAATGGAAAAATAAAATATGATCTATACATACAATGAAATATTATTCAGCCATAAAAACAGGGAAATTCTGCCATATGTTACAACATGAATGAACCATGGAGGCACTATATTAAGTGAAATGAGTCAGTCATAGAAGGACAGATACTCCATGACTCCACTTATATGAAGCATTTAAAGTAGTCAAAATAATATAAACAGAAATGGTGGTTGCCAGGGTTTTGAATGAAGGAAATTGCAAGTTGCTGTTTAATGGATATAAAGTTCCAGTCATGCAAGATGCAAAATGTCTAGAAATCTGCTTTACAACACTGTATTTAGAGTTGACAATATTGTATTGTACACTTAAAAATTTAGGCCAGGTGCGGTGGCTCATGCCTGTAATCACAGCACTTTGGGAGGCCGAGGCGGGCAGCTTGCTTGAGGTTAGGAGTAGAGACCAGCCTGGCCAACGTGGCAAAACCCCATCTCTACTAAAAATACAAAAAATTAGCTGGGCATGGTGGCACATCCCTGTAGTCCTAGCTACTCAGGAGGCTGAGGCAGGAGAATTGCTGGAATCCAGGAGGCAGAGGTTGCAGTGAGCTGAGATTGTGCCACTGTACTCCAGCCGGGGCAACAAAGCGAGACTCCATCTCAAAAAAAAAATAAAAATAAAAATAAAATAAAAATAAAAATTTGTGAAGAAGGTAGAGCTCATATGATATGTATTTTTTACCACAAGAAATATAATATCAGAAAATTGAATTTAGCAATATATAAAAATGCTAACATATCAGTACAAATATGGTTTATTCAAGGAAGCAATATTGGTTTAACATTTGAAACTCAAATAAAGATAAAAGACTTGTTTTTCTCATTAGTAAGTAAAAAAATTTGATAAGATGAAAAACACTTTTATGAAAAGTTTCAGTAAGCTAGAAGTTAAGGAAAATTTCTCAATCTGAAAATATCTGCAAAACATCTAAAGGTAATGGAATACTTAATAGTAAAATATTGAATGCTTTACTTCTTAAAGTCTGAAGTGAGACAAGAATATTGTATCTTCTTTTCAACATTATACTGTGGTTCTAATTAGTAAAATAGTGCAAAACGAAGACAAACATATATATTGAAAATGAAAATGTAAAACATTATCTGCAAACAATATGGTTTAGATATATAGAGAATCCAAAAAACGATCACTGAGAATGCATAATTAATAAGTGAATTTAGCACTTTTGTTGAGTAAATGGAAAATATAAAAATTAATTACATTTCTTTATACTTGTAACATTCAAAATAGCATAAAATATCAAATATCTAAAAATAAATACAAAAGAATATATGCCAGACCTTTCCCCAGAAAAGAATATATGCCAGAACTTTCCCCAGAAAACTACAAAACATTTAAACAAAAAATTTTAAAGATCTAAATAAATGGAGTTCATTTAGATAAATAGAATATACAATATTCATGGAACAGGAGACTTAATAGTGATAAAATGTCAATTTTCCTTAAATTGATCTTTAAAATTTAAAGCAATATTGATCAAAATTCTGACAACATTTTTTTTTAAAAAGCTTGCATGATGATACAAAGGACATAGCATAGTTAATATGATCTTGAAAGAGAAACAAATAGTTGGAGGGCTTATATTGCCTGATATCAGTATTTAACACACAACTACAGTAATCAAGGCAGTGTTGTATTGATGTAAGGATAGAGCATAAATTTGACAAATTTTGATGATGTATACATTCATGTAATCTATATCCTAGCTCCCAATCATAATATAAAATAGTTCTATTTTCTCAGAAAGTTTTTACTTGCTTTTCAGCCAATCCTCACCCTCCATCCATAGAAAACCACTATTATGATTTCTATGACTGTGGATTTTTTCTGTCCTTGAACATTATATAAATGGAATAAAATAGTGAATACTCTTTTGTCCCTGTTTTTTTTTTTCTTTTTTACTTAAAATAATGTCTGAGGGATTCATTCATGTTGTTGAGAGTCTCAGTAGGGTTTTTTGTTGTTGCTGTTAAATTGCTGAGCAGTATGAATATGATATAAACATAATTTGTTTTTCCACTATCCTCTAGATAGGCATTTGGGTTCTTTGCAGTTTTGGCTACTATGAATAAAGCTGCTATGTAAATTTATGTACAAGTCATTTCATGAGCATATGCTTTTAATTTTCTTGGATACATGCCTAGGAATTGCTAAAGCATGGGCAAACTATATGTTTAAATTTATAAAAAGTGGACAGTTTTCCAAAGTGATTGTACCATTTTTTTACTCCCACTCACAAATTTTGAGAGTTTTATTTATTCTACATCCTTGCGAATATTTGTTGTTGTCACTCTTTTCTTTTTTTTTTTTTTTTTTGAGACACAGTCTCGCTCTGTTGCCCAGACTGGAGTACAGTGGCGCAATATTGGCTCACTGCAAGCTCCGCCTTCTGGGTTCACGCCATCTCCTGCCTCAGCCTCCCGAGTAGCTGGGACTACAGGTGCCCACCACCACGCCTGGCTAATTTTTTATATTTTTAGTAGAGACGGGGTTTCACCGTGTTAGCCAGGATGGTCTCGATCTCCTGACCTCATGATCTGCCCGCCTCGGCCTCCTAAAGCTCTGGGATTACAGGCATGAGTCACGGTACCCTGCCTTGTTGACACTCTTTTAAAAAATGTTTTGTATAGCAATTCCTTGATGACTAATGAGGATTACCATTTTTAATGTGCTTATTTGCCTTTCCTATATCTTTTGTAAAAAGTCTTTCAAGTTAATTTCTTTTTAATTTTCCATTTGGTTGGTATTTTTCATATTGATTTTTGGAAGTGTTCTATATATTCTAGATATGAGTCCTTTGTCAGCTACTTATTACAAGTATTTTCTTCCAATCCTTGGTTTGCTTATATATTTTAACGTGTTTTAAAATAATATTTCAAGTATTTTATTTAACATATAAATGAAGTAACTGGTAAGAATTTTTTTTTTTTTGAGATGGAGTCTTGCTCTGTCGCCCAGGCTGGAGTGCAATGGCACGATCTTGGCTCACAGCAACCTCCGTCTCCCAGGTTCAAGCGATTCTCCTGCCTCAGCCTCCCAAGTAGCTGGGACTACAGGTGCACGCCACCATGCCCAGCTAATTTTTGTATTTTTAGTGGAGACAGGGTTTCACCATGTTGGCCAGGCTGGTCTCGATCTCCTGACCTTGTGATCCGCCCACCTCGGCCTCCCAAAGTGCTGTGATTACAGGTGTGAGCCACCGTGCCTGGCCACTGGTAAGAATTTTTAACTGGTTCATATGAAATTTTGAATTAGTCATTCTGCAGGGGATTGGTTTCAGCCCTCCTTGTGGATTCCAGAATCCATGGATGCTCAAGTCTATTGCATAAAATGGTGTAGTATTTGTGTATAACCTGCATGCATCCTTCCATATACTTTAAATCATATTTACATTACTTATAATACACAAAACAGTGTAGATGCTATATAAATAGTTGTTATACTATATTTTTTAAATAAAATATGTATTATTTTATGGTTGTGTTATTTTTTATTTTAAAAATATTTTCTATTTGTAGTTAGTTGAATCCACTGATGTGGAACCTGCAAATACAGAGGACCAATTGTGTAGAGGTTTATATTCTCTACTGAACAAAATTCGTTTTCATTGTTATGAACAGAGATCATTTTATTGCTAAAAATTATTTTAAAGGCTTTCAGTTTTCTACAGATTAATCACTACCTCTATGGAGTTACAAAATTACCCAGTCAATAGAAAGATAAGGGTTTCATGCCCCTGTAGAGTCAGAAAATTTTAGGGGATCTACTGGGCAATGCCTAGTACTCCGTTAAAACAATCCCTAGCACACTCTTTGGCCTATTTTCAAGTCTTGGACATTTTCTTTCCAGCAGTACTTCCCTCTCTGATCCCCTGTGACCATAAATAATCTCTAAAGATTATTACTTTTTACCTTTTATTTTTAGTTGACATATAATAATTGTACCTATTTGTGGGATTGAGTGGTATTTTGATACATTGTGTAATTATCAAAGAGGGTAGTTAGCATATTCAACACCTCAAACATTTACTATTTCTTGGTGTTGTGAACGTTCAAAATCCTCTCAATGTAGCTTTTTGAAAATATGTAATACATTATTATTAGCCGTATTTACTGTACAGTGCTCCAGAGCACCAGAACTCATTTTTTTAAAATCTAGCTGTAATTTTATATCTTTTAAACAACCTCTCCCCATTCTCTCCTCCTCCTTACCCTTCCCAGCCTCTAATACTCAGTTGTACTCTATACTTCCATGGGCTCAAAACAGTTTTCTTGTTTTCACATATGAGTGAGAACATGTGGTATTTATCTCTCTGTGCCTGGCATACTTTGCTTAACATAATGTTCATCAGGCTTACCCATGTTGCCACACTTGACAGGATTTTATTCTTTTTTATGGCTGAACAGTATTCCATTGTGTATATATGCCACACATTGTTTATCCATTCATCCATCAATGAATATTTAGGTTGATTCCATATCTTAGCTATTATGAATATTAAGTACTGCAATAAACGTGGGGTTGCAGGTATCCCTTTGAGATACTGATTTATTTTCCTTTGAATAAATATCCAGAAGTGGAACTGCTGGATCATATGGTAGTTCCATTTTCACTTTTTTGAGAAACTACCATACTCTTTTCCATAATGCTGTATAAATTTACATTTCCACCAACGGTGTATGAGTTCCATTTTCTATACATTCTCACTGGCATTTGTTATTTTCTGTCTTTTTGTTAATAGCTATTCTAACTGGGGTGAGATGATATTGAGCCTGAAAGACACAATGTTAAGCAAAGTATGTTAGGCACAGAGAGATAAATACCACATATCTCACTTATATGTGAAAACAAGAAAACTATTGATTTGCATTTCCCTGAAAATGATGTTGAGCATTTTTTTTATGTTTGTTGGTTATTTGTATGTTTTCTTTCGGGAAATGTCTATTCGGTTCCTTTGCCCACTTTTTAAAGTGACTTTTTATTTTTATTTTTTTGCTATTGAGTTGTTTGGGTTCCTTGTATATTCTGGATATTAGTCCCTTGTCAGATGAATAATTTGCAAATATTTATTCCCATTATATAGATTGTCTTTTCACTTTATTGATTGTTTCCTTTGTTGTACAGAAGATTTTCAATTTAGTACAGTCCTATTTAACTATTTTTGTTTTTGTTGTCTGTAATTTTAAACTCTTAGGCATAAAATCTTTGCCTGGACTAATGTATTGAAGTGTTTCTTCTGTTTTTTTTTTCTAGTAGTTTCATAGTTTTGTGTTTAAGTGTTTTATCTATTTTTAGTTGATTTTTGTACATATTGAAAGATAGGGATCTAGTTTTATTCTTCTGCATATGGATATCCAGTTTTCCCAGTACCATTTATTAAAGAAAATGTCCTTTCCCCAGTGTGTGTTCTTGGCTTCTTTGTCAAAAATCAGTTGGCTGTAAACACGTGGATTTATTTCTGGGTTCTTTATTCTGTTCCATTGTTCTGTGTGCCCATTTTAATACCAAGACCATGCTATTCTGGTTCAGCTTTTTTCTCTTGCTCAGTATTGCTTTCACTATTCAGAGTCCTTTGAGGTTCCACAGAAATTTTAGGATTGTTCTTTCTATTATCATGAAGAATGTCATTGATATTTTGATACAGATTGCACTGAATCTGAACATTGCTTTAGACAGTATGGTCATTTTAACAATATTAATTCTTCCAATCCATGAGCATAGGATGTCTTTCCATTTGTTTGTGTCCTCATTTTTTTTTTCATCAGTGTTTTGTAGTTTTCATTATAGTGGTCTTTCATCTGTTGGTGAAATTTATTTTTAGGTATTTTGGGTAGATATTGTAAATGTGATTGCTTTCTTAATTTATTTTTCACTTACTTATTGGTGTATAAAAATTCTACTGATTTTTACATGTTGATTTTGTATTCTGCAACTTCACTGAATTTGTTTATCAGTTCTGAGAGGGTTTTGGCAAAAGTCTCTAGGCTTTTCTACATATAAGATCATATTGTCTGCAAAGAGGGACAATTTAACTTCCTCTTTTTTCAATTTGGATGACTTTTATTTCTTTATCTTGCCTAATTGTTCAGGCTGCCAGTATTGGAATATATTGAGTAAGAGTGGTAAAGTGGGCATCTTTGCCTTGTTCAAATTCTCAGAGGAAAGGCTTTCAGCTTTTCACCATCAAGTGTTAGCTATTTACTTGTCTTATATGGCTCTTATTATGTAGACATATGTTCCTTCCATGCCTAATTTGTTGAGAGTTTTTATTATGAGGAGATGTTGAATTTTGTCACATTCCTTTTCTGCATCTATTGAGCTCATCATATGGATTTTGTCCATGATTCTGTTGAAGTGATGTATCACGTTTATCAATTTACATATGCTGAACCGTTCTTGCATACCTGAGATAAATTCCACTTGATCATTATGTATAATTCTTTTAATATACTGTTAATTTGATTTGCTAGTATTTTGGTGAGGATATTTGCATCTATATACATTGGGGATATTGATCTGTAATTTCCTCTTTTCTGTTTTGTTCATGTCTGGTTGTGGTATTATGGCAATGCTGGCTTGTAGAATGAGTTAGGAAGAATTCTCTTCTCTTCAATTTTTTGGAATAGTATGAGAATTGGTGTCCTTTAAAAGTTTGGTAGAATTCAGTGGTAAAGCCATCTAATCCTGAGCTTTTCTTTGTTGGGAGACTTTCTATTACAGATTCAATCTTGTTACTCATTACTAATTTGTTCCGATTTTCTATTTCTTTCTGGTTCAATATTGGGAAGTTGTATATGTCCAGAAATGTATCCATCCCTTCCAGGTTTTTCAATATTTAGCTTGTAGTTGTTTGTAATAGTTTTTAATGATGCTTTAAATTTCCATAGTATCAGTTGTAATGTCTCCTTTTTTATTTCACTTATTTGGATTCTCTCTCTTTTTTCTTGGTTAATCTAGCTAGTGGTCTATCGATTTTGTCTATCTTTTCAAAATACAACTTTTCATTTTGTTAATCATTTGTATTGTATTTTTTTGTCTCTATTTCATTTACTTCTGCTCTGATCTTTATTGTTTTCTTCCTTCTACTTTCAGCTTGGTTTGTTCTTGCTTGTCTAGTTCCTTGAGGTGAATTTTTAGGTTGTTTGTTTGAAATCTTTCTACTTTCTAATGTATGCATTTATTGCTATAAACTTCCCTCCTTGTACTACTATTGTTATAACCCATAAGTTTTGGTATATTGTGTTTACATTTTCATTTGTGTCAAGAAGTTTTAACAATTTATTCTTAATTTCTTTATTGACCCAATGGTTGTTCAGGAGCATATTGTATAATTTTCATGTATCTGTACAGTTTCCAAAGTTCCTCTTGTTGTTGATTTCTAGTTTTATTCTATCGTGATTTGAAAAGACTTGATATGCTTTCAGTTGTTAAAAATTTGTTGAGACTTGCTTTGTAACCTAACATATGGTCTATCTTGGAGAATGTTCCATGTGCTGATGAGAAAAATGTGTATTCTGCAGCTGCTGGATGAAATTTTCTATAAATGTCTTTCAGATCCATTTGGTCTAAAGTACAGTTTAAATCCAATGTTTCTTCACTGATATTTTTGTCTAGATGTTGAAGTTCTCAACTGTTGTTTTAGTAGGATCCATCTCTCTCTTTAGCTCTAAGAATATTTACTTTATATATCTGGATGGTCTTGTGTTGGGTGAATATGTATCTTTATAATTGTTCTATCCTTTTGCTGAATTGATACCTTTGCCATTAAATAATGACCTTCTTTTCTCTTTTCATGTTTTTGCCAAATGGGATATGCACATTATTAGCCCTGCCTCCTATCTGCCATCTTCTTCAAGTGTGTTTTGTGTGTTTTCATGATAGTAGATATTCTTTTTTGCTTTCAGGTATAGGACTCAAACATTTCTTTTTTTTTTTTTTTTTTTTTTTAAGACAGAGGTCTGGAGTGCAGTGGCGCGATCTCGGCTCACTCACTGCAAGCTCCGCCTCCAAGGTTCATGCCATTCTCCTGCCTGCCTCAGCCTCCCGAGTAGCTGGGACTACAGGCACCCGCCACCACACCCGGCTAATTTTTTTGTATTTTTAGTAGAGACGGGGTTTCACCGTGTTAGCCAGGATAGTCTCTATATCTCCTGACCTTGTGATCCGCCTGCCTCAGCCTCACAAAGTGCTGGGATTACTGGCATCAGCCACCATGCCTGGCCAGACTTAGGCATTTCTTATAGGGTTGGTCTAGTGGTAATAAAAAATATGGAATGCTTTACAAATTTGCATGTTATCCACTCACAGGAGCTATGCAAATCACCTATCATTTTAATTTTAGTATATGTGCTGCCAAAGTGGTCACTAAAGCTTATTCTTGACCACACACAAAAAAGTCAAGTCCCAACAGATTTGGCCAGATTACTTATTTAGGAAAACCCATGGTGTTAATTATATGTGTCTCATTGATTTTTTCCATAAATCTAGAGTTGTGTAATATACAGTAATCACTAAGTCTAAGGGATTTATTTCATCCCGAAATATTTATAGGGCTTCTTGGATTGGAATTTTTAAATCCTTTATTAACTGCTAGCTGTGAACTGAATATCTTCCACCCAAAAAATTATACCTTGAAATCCTAACTCCACAAATAATGGTATTAGGTGAGGCCTTTGGGAGGTGACTGTGTCATGATTTAGTCCTCATGAATGGGATTAGTGCCCTTATAAGGGCCTAAAGAGACCAGAGTTTTCCCTTCTGCCATGTAGTGACACAGCAAGATGACCATCTATGAGCCAAGAATCATGTCCTCACCAGACAACAAATCTTCTAGCACCTTGATTTTGGACCTCTCAGCCTCCAGAACTGTGAGAAATAAATTTCTGTTATTTATAAGCTACCTGATTTATGGTGTGTTATTATAGCAATTTGAATGAACTAAGACAGTGCATTTCTATCTTGAAACTAGGAAGCAAAGCCCCAAAACTCTCTCTACCAGATTTTATCTCCAGTATTTATAAATTGGATGAATTCCTTTTCCTAGCAATTCCCAAATTTTGTTGTAGTTCCTGGTCTGCTGAGTAACCTTTTTACCATCTGGTAGATTGAGACCTTATGAACACAAGTACCAGGCCAATATTCTTGAAAAGGCTTCGTAGGTATTGACTTCACATACGAATTTGGAATTATTCCTCCTTAATATGGGGTTTACCATTTGTAATAAAAGTGAGTAATGCAAAATCAGACACTTATTGAATCTATGTAAGTAATGAATGTTTCTGTGAATAATAAGGAGAGTATGTAAAGGTGTCTGCATTTTCAGGGGTCAATGAGAATCAAAGTTCCTTTAAAAGTTTTCATTTTTGTTTACAAAAAATCTATTTTGGGTTAGATATATCTTAAAGAGAAGAAATTTTTTTCTCATATAACCATAAAAATAAAACATTATAAATATTACCAAAATATTTCAAATATTACATTTAAATTTCTCTCTTTAATGTATTCATTTCTATAAAATTAATTTTTATTCCACTGCATCTTGAGTCAGTAGATTGCTTCATGACTGGAAAAGAATTCTTGTGACTCTCAGTCCACTGTTATCTAAAAGTAGTCTGAGTAATGTCATCTTCTAAGTCTGATTTCAGAACTTTGTCCTTTGAAGTAAAATATTAGAATGATAAGTAAAATTATCTATTAAGATTTTATAAATCAAGCTGGGCTCAGTGGCTCATGCCTATAATCCCAGTAAATCAGGAGGCTGAGGTGAAAGGATCACTTGAGAAAAAAGTTTGAGAGCAGCCTTGGCAACATAGCTAGATCCAGTCTCTAAAAAAAAAATAATAACAAAAAATTTAGCTGGGCCTATTGGCATGCACTTGTAGTCCCAGGTATTTGGGAGGCTGAGGTGGGAGGATAGCTTGAGCCCAGGAGTTCAAGACTGCGGTGAGCCATGATCATGCCACTGCATTCCAATCTGGGCAACAGAGTGAGACCCCAACTCAAAAAAAAATTTTACAGATCAATTTGAGGAAAATTGTAGCTATAAATATTGAATCTTCTGATACATTAACATGTATATCTTTGTATTTATTTAGATTTTCTTTAAAATATTTTTGGCAGTGTTTTGTAGTCTCAGTAGAAATATCTGGCATATCTTTTAATTTTTTTGGTATTTAATGTTTTGGATATTCTATTAGTCCATTTGTATACTGCTATAAAGAACTGCACAAGACTGGGTAATTTATAAAGGAAAGAGGTTTAATTGACTCACAGTTCAGCATGGCTGAGGAGGCCTTTGGAAACTTACAATCATGGTAGAAGGTGAAGGGGAAGCAAGGCACCTTCACAAGGTGGCAGTAAGGAGAAGTGCTGAGCGAAGTGGGAAGAGCCCCTTATAAAACTGTGAGCTCTCGCGAGAATTCACTCACTATCATGAGAACAGCATGGAGGAAACCGCCCCATGATGCAATTACCTCCACATGGTCTCTCCCTTGACATGTGGGGATTCTGGGGATTATGGGAATTATAATTCAAGATGAGATTTGGGTGGGAACACAAAGCCTAAACATATCAGATACTAACTTTTATTTCTCAGAGAAAAGTGGAAAGTAGATAATTGAGAACTTTAGGTAATATAGAATAGAAAACTTTTAGCTGCACCAAACCTCATGAATAAAAACAAAACAACTTTTTGCAGCCACTCGTATTTCTTTACACCTTCTGTCTTAATGCTGCTATAATGAATGGCAATAGATTGTGTGGCTTATAAACAACACAGGTTTATTTCCCACAATTCTGGAGTCTGGAAGTCCGAGATCAGGGTGTCAGCATGGCTGGGTTATGGTAAGAGCCCTCTTCCAGAACCCAACTTCTATTTAATTTCTCACATGGCAGAAAGGAACAAGAGAACTCTATGAGGGCACTTTTATTACTTTTAATAGCAAAAACTGCAAGTACTTTTGCACCAAACTAATACTTCTGCACACAAATTCGGGGATTAGCTTATTCATAACTTTAATATTTTTAAGGTGAAATTTGGAAGAAGGATATTAGAGAAACAAACTACAGCCCCAATATCTGCCGTTGATATTGGGGCTAAACCTGATATTTCTCTTTTTAGTTTCCATTCTCCATTTCAAATTCAGCTATCACACTGTTAGATCTCAGTAGTTTACTAACTGGTGTGACTCGAATCTTCCTTTCAGAGTGGTCTGAAACTTTGGCAATCATTTTCAGTCCAGGGCTTCTCCAAATGTATATTTACAGCTACAGTGGGGCAAAGGAGTATCAGTTGGCATCCAAGAAGATCGCCTGGGTTCCACATATATTTGTCCTGTCCCTATTATGCAAACCACCTCTACCTCCCCTATTGTTCACAGTTAATTACCCTGGGCAGGCAAGAAGAGAAGTTACCATATTGCGCAGGGTATTTAACTGTGAACAATGACTGAAATGATTACTAATAATACGGAACTATACAAAATATACATTTGGAGAGAAGGAATCCAAAATGTCTAGCAGAAGCTACAACTTGTAGTTCAGTTGAACCCTTTCTTTGTCCACTGGCAAGAGTATGGCCCCTTACTGTCAATTAATGCTTCATATGTTTTGAAGTTGTGTTATTAGGTGTATACCTCTTTAGTATTGTGTTTTTTTTGATAAATTAACTTTTTGTCACCATGAAATGAGTAATTTTTTGTAGCACTTTTTGTCTTGATATCTATTTTGTATATTGATATAGCTAGCTACTTTAGTTTTCTAATAACTATTGTTTGCCTTAGTATCTTTTCCCTTATTTTTAACCTATTAGTATCTATAAAGCTAAATATGTAAAACTGAATACTGTTCACAGGAGACATTTTAAGCATGTCTCATATAAACAGTATTTAGTTTTGGAATTTTTTCCCAGTAGCTTTTAACATAGTTATGGTATGATTTTGGTACAAGTCTATCATCTTACTATTTGTTTTCTACTTGTATCAGTAGATCTTTGATACTTCAATTTAAATTTTCTACCTTTCACTTTTTAAAATTTTTATGCCAAATATCATTCATTCAAAAGTTGAGATTGAAGTAACATATTGGTTGTTCTGAAGTCCAGAGAATAAAATCCCTTTCCTAGGTTATATGATTAGAATGAGGTCCTTATCATTTATTGTCCTTAGCATATTGTGTTGAGATAAGGCTGGGCAACAGCTATAATTATATTGAATTCAACCCCCTTTTAGCTTGTAAATATTTGAGTCTGGAGTGAGTTGGCTGCACTTTCCAATACATTGGTTATTCTTCGGATTCATCAACTTTAGGACTCAAAAATCCAGTCATTTTGAGAACGCACAGGATCGTGTTTTCAGATCTTCCTTTACTGCAGCTCTTTTAGCAAAATTTGAGGGTACTGTTGGTGGAGAGAATTATCCGACCAGCAATTTGTTTCATGCTTGGACGTTTTTTATACTCCAGTTCAGTCACATGATCATTCAAGGTAATTCTGACCTCTCTTATTTTCCAAAAAGTCTTTCCATCTTTAGCACCTCTCACTTTAATTTGCCATAGCTAAACCAGATACCTGTACCAAGGTATGGAAGAATTCAGTATGTACGAATGCGTTTATCAAGGCTTCTTTGAAGCATCTAATCTTCCTTAGTCACATTAAAATTATAACTTTTCTTTGGTCTAGGTTTTTCTCATTGTTACCACAAGAACCAAGGTTTTTTTCATCTTTTACATTTTAACCAGAAGCAAAAAGGTATTATATTCTACCCAGCATTTCTTGGTGTTAGAGCTTGAACATTTTTAGGTTATCTGAGTTTTCTGTCTTTCTGAAATAGAAATGGAAACCACAGATTTACCTTTACAATATGGCTATTAGAGAAATAATATGTTAGGGTTTAAAACATCGATGTGAATTAAAATTACATTTGAAGTTTATAAAAATATAGATACTTTGGTCCTATAGTGGATGATTCAAATTCACTCAGTTTTGGGCTAAATCCAAATGAAAATTATGTGGTTTCCAAATGTATTTTCCAAAAGTCTCTCAAGTTGATGTTGATGCAAACCAAAGTTTGAGAAAAATGGTAAAGTAGATGAATGGTGGCCTAAACATTCACAATATTTATCTATTCTTTATCCCCACTGTCCAGCACAGTGATGGCAAGTGCTCAATTTGTACAAATGGATGAATGCATTTATTATGGGCAATTGGTTTTTCATGTAAATCAGCATGAGATAATTTAGACATTTTAGATGTTCTTTCAATAAACAAAACTATAGTCATATTAGAAGACTGAATCAATTTACTTCTTCTGATGAGTTTATCAATGTGCTCCTTGTTGCTTAATCCTTTGGACACCTCCTTACATATTATATTTGACCTCGCTGTAGAAATGATGCTATCCTTTCTCTTCCTAAAACAATTTTTCCCTTGCCTTTGTTTACATCATAATTTTCTTGTTTCTCCCTAACTAGTGGCCACTTAATTTGAATTTTTAATTCTTTTTCTTCCCCTGTTAAAATATGAAACTTCTAATCTGCATTTGAAACTCATCATAGTTGTTTCAGTAATCTCAAGAGGTGATGTGGTTTGGCCACGTCCCCACCCAAATTTTATCTTGAATTGTAGTTCCCATAATCCCCACCTGTTGTGGGAGGGACACAGTGGGAGGTAATTGAATTGTGGGGATGGTTACCCCCATGCTGCTCTTCTTGTGATAGTGAGTGAGTCCTCACGAGACCTGATGTTTTTTTAAGGGGCTTTTCCCCCCTTGCTTGGCACTTTTCCTTCCTGCTGCCATGTGAAGAAGGACATGTTTGCTTCCCCTTTTGCCATAATTGTAAGTTTCCTGAGGCCTCCCAGCCTCACTGAACTGTGAGTCAACCTCTTTCCTTTATACGTTACCCAGTCTCAGGTATGTTCTTATTAGCAGCATGAGAACAGACTAATACAAGAGGGGTGCAGTAAAATTCTTGCAGTGAAAGAATTCACTATAAATTAATCATAATTCCCCTCTCTTTCTCTCTCTCTCCGTGTATGTATTGTCTATCAACAGTAAACATTTATTAAGGTTTTTTTTCTGTGCTACTTGCTGGGAGTACAAAGAACCTTAAGATACCATCTCTGCCCTTAAGGAGCTTATAAATCAAATAAATAAGGGTATTTTATAATTCTGAAAGAATTCTGAGAATGCTGCCCTTAGCTATGAATACAATTTCCTTCCTCCGTGAAGCTTTTATACATTCTCCTCTTCACCCTCTATTTTTATTTTCTTGAAAATTTGTTTTAAGGACTTAGCTGTCTTCACATATGGGAATATGTGATTGGAGAGAGGTGAAAGAGAAGTGAGGAGGAAAAGTCAGGGAAGAAAGAAGGGTCTCAAGGCACATGGCTTTCTGATTCTTTACTGTAAATAACATAAATGCAATTAAAATACATTACAGTGCCCGGGCGTGGTGGCTCAAGCTGTAATCCCAGCACTTTGGTAGGCCAAGGCGGGTGGATTGCCTTAGGTCAGGAGTTCAAGACCAGCCTGGCCAACATGGCAAAACCCTGTCTCTACTAAAAATACAAAAATTAGCTGGGTGTGGTGGCGCATGTCTGTAATCCCAGCTACCCAGGAGGCTGAGGCAGGAGAATCACTTGAATCCAGGAGGCTGGGGTCGCAGTGAGCTGAGATCATACCACTGCACTCCAGCCTGGGTGACAGAGCAAGACTCTGTCTCAAAAACAACAACAACAACAACAACAACAACAACAAAATTATAGTATTTTAACTTTCTAAAGGGTTCGTAGAATTTCATCCAATTTTATTTTTGCAACATTCCATTTTACTGTGGAAAAACTGGGTCAGGGTGTGCCTATGTGTTTACCAGACACCTCCATCCTTCAGGTTTTAAAGCACATTTCTTTTACTTAATACATTATTAATTTGATCCTAGCAACAATCCTCTGAGTCTTTTGCTTATGAAACAGGAAGGAGGAGTAGAATCAAGCGTGTTTGAAAGGCAGAAAAAACACCCTGCTAAGTTTGAATCCTTGTTTATTTACTTGCTAGCTGTGCGACTTCCATTTAACTTCCATGAGCTCATTTTTCTGTTAAATATGAATAACAGTTCCTATTAGTAGAGTTTTGTGCCTAGCCTGTTATATTCTAAGTGTTGGTTCATTTTCTCCTTCCTCTGAATTGGATCAGTTCTTCCAAACACAGAGATTTTTTTTCATGTAAAGAGGTACTTTTCCTAAACAAAGACAATATTTTTGGTTCTGTAATTGACCTGCAGATTGGGCTGGCCCTGCGTTTAGGAAGGTGGATGCTAACTACATCTTCCTTTGCACTAGACTGGTGTGGCTGTGTTCCTTTCTTTCACCTGACACAAAGTCTTAGGGAACATATTATCCTGTGCAAAATTGATTTCTAAATAATACATCAAAACATCCTAGTAATCTCCTGAAAACAGAAAAAAGGGACCTGAAATTTATTATATGGTGTGTGCTTAGCTGCACAATTTCTAATCTGGTAAAAGTTCAAATGTAACAATTAGTGTCACACTTCACCTTATTCAGAGTGGTCTAAAGCTTATCTGCCATGGGTAATAATAATCAGGATCCAATAAAAGATGTTGGAGCAGATGGAGGTACTACAGTTTCCAATTAAACTCCTCTTTATTAAACTTTGTATTCTCTCATGATTTAGTGAACTTACTTCAGCTCTGTCACCTATACAACTGGCATTTGTGTTTAGCACTGCTCTGTAAGTTTGCTTACTTTCTAAGGTAGAAAAAGGCTTTATGTAAATGGTGAGTCTCATCTTTTCTTAATCAAATAGTTGCAGATGATATTTTGTTTTGCAGCAACAAAAAGAGAAAGAGAAAAAGGCAATTGATATTTATTGAGCATTGGGAATATCTGGCAGGCATTTTTGAGTGAATCTACTCTTGAGTAATTTGCTGCATTTAATCCTCTTAACTATACTATGAGGAAGAGGTTGTTTCTTATTTATTGACCACTTTGTTGATGAGAAAACGGAAACTTGGTGTTTGAATCAGTGAGCAGATGTGAAAAAAACAGAAAGACCTTTCTAGCTGTTCATAAAATCATATTGCCAAGGGAAAGGTAGGAGAGATTTTATAAATGAGAATGTAGAGAACCTTATTAATAAGAACATCTTGTTTTATTACAAGGAAAAATAATATGTCTTACGTATATATGAGTCAAAAGAACTCATATTTTTAAAACTCTAGGAGACTCTTTTACATGTAAATATTATCACCACGTGAAGTGTTTAACAAACCTGTGTGGACATCACACAGTCAGATGCTGTGTTTGGCACTGAGGCTTAGTGGTGGTGTGTTCGGAATTGGTTCCTTCTGGTGGGTTCTTGGTCTCGCTGACTTCGAGAATGAAACCGTGGACCCTCGCAGGGAGTGTTACAGTTCTTAAAGATGGTGTGTCCAGAGTTTGTTCCTCCAGATGTTCAGCTATTTCTGGAGTTTCTTCCTTCCGGTGGGTTCGTGGTCTCGCTTGACTTCAGGAGTGAAGCCGCAGACCTTTGCAGAGAGTGTTACAGCTCTTAAAGGTGGTGCGTCAGGAGTTGTTTGTTCCTCCTGGTGGGTTTGTGGTCTCGCTGACTTCAGGAGTGAAGCCGCAGACCTTCGCAGTGAGTGTTACAGCTCATAAAGGTAGTGCAGACCCAAAGAGTGAGCAGCAGCAAGATTTATTGTGAAGAGCGAAAGAACAAAGCTTCCAAAGTGTGGAATGCGACCCCAGCTGGTTGCTGCTGCTGGCTCAGGTGGCCAGCTTTTATTCCCTTATTGGCCCCACCCGCATCCTGCTGATTGGTCCATTTTACAGAGTGCTGATTGCTCCGTTTTACAGAGTGCTGATTGATCGGTTTTCACAGAGTGCTGATTGGTGCATTTACAAACCTTCAGCTAGACACAGAGTGCTGATTGGTGCATTTTTATAGAGTACTGACTGGTGCATTTACAAACCTTTAACTAGACACAGAGCGCTTGTTGGTGTGTTTACAATCCTTTAGCTAGACAGAAAAGCTCTCCAAGTCTCCACCCAACCCAGAAGCCCAGCCGGCTTCACCTCCCAGTGAGAAACAGAGGCTACATGTCTGTTTTCATAGAAAGATTAAATACAGATATTTATGAGATTTCAGTTAATGCTTACCTATTGTTCATTGAGAGAATGAGAGTTTAGTTTACTTGATTAGTCTGAGGCAATTAACAAGGCAGAAAGGATCCACTAGTATGGGAAGCACAAAGAAGTCTTAAGAAGCAAGTGACAAAAAAGCTGATGTATTTCCCTAAATAAGTCCTAGACCCTGAAAAGGAATATGGGATGAAAGATGGAAGGGCCAGGTGCTTTCAGTGTCTCAAGAAGAAGAGCATGGTTTAAAAGCACTTAGGATTTCTTGGAAAGTAGAATTTCTTTCTATGTCACTGTATTTGCTCCCTCCAAATTACTGTTCTTGGACTTTTACTGAGGCAGTCCAGCTACTCAATAAGTAACACCTGCTAACAAAATATTTCTGTTTTCCTCACAAGCAAGGGGCAATTAACTGTCTTAAGCATAGTATATGCTAACAAAACATTTCTGTTTTCCTCATGAGCAAGGGGTGATTAACTGTCTTAAACATAGTATATTTGATATGTCATTCTACATATAAAGATTCAACAATTGTGTGTTGGGACATGAATTCTCCACATAGGGTAATTTGAGTTAAACCAGTAACAGCTTTATAGTCGATAGCTTAAGTGCAATGTTAATGTCTATTGTTTCCAGAATTTAAAAAATAGGTTTCAAGATACAGTAAAAGATGTAGAACCCATGAAGTAAGGCAAGCATTTATAATTTAGTATAGAAACCAATGGACAGTCTAACAAAAGGATATCAAATGCAAGCAGGAAAGGAGTAATAAAGGAAAAATAAAACCAGAGATTTTTCAGTATTTTTCAAAAAAAATAAACAAATATTCAAAACATTATTAGACTGTTGAATTCATCTAACACGTAGGAATGTTGAAATGGTTCAAATATCACAAAAATGATCAATGAGTTGGAGAAAAGGACTTATAGGGAAACTTTAATTAGAAATATAATTAGGGAAGACCTTTGTTACCACATGACTCATAACACAGATTTGAATATAACATAGTTACATGACTCCTCAAATGAAACTTTATAATAAAATTATAAACTGCTCTGGGTAGATCATAAAATGTGTGTGTGTGTGATTACTGATCTATATATGAGGATTTACTCATTGAATAGAGTATTATTAGGATAAGTTAATATGCTGTCAAAAAAGGGCTTTGCAAAATTATAGTAATAAAATAAACTTTCTGTTTATAAAATAGTCAAATGACAGACGGGATCACAGAGATGGTTATTATGATGTCATGTGTGTGATGAAATTATTTCAGTTTTGACTCTAGACTATTAAGGAAATAAGGCCGGGCACGATTGCTCATGCCTGTAATCCCAGGACTTTGGGAGGCCAAGGAGGGTGAATCACCTGATGTCAGGAGTTTGAGACCAGCCTGGCCAACATGGTGAAACCCTGACTAGGTAAAAATACAAAAATTAGCTGGGCGTGGTGGCAGGTGCCTGTAATCCCAGCTAGTCAGAAGGCTGAGTCAGGAGAATCACTTGAACCCAGGAGGCAGAGGTTGCAGTGAGCTGAGATTGTGCTACTGCACTCCAGCCTGAGCGACAAGAACGAAACTCAGTCTCAATTAAAATAATAATAATAATAATAATAATAATAATAATAATAATAATAATATAAGATGACATCTTGTCTCACAGAAACCTGAAATTTTTAGTTTTTAGGTTGTTGAGAAGTGCCATGTTTTAATTCAATCGCCTATATTCTAATCCAGGCATTTCAAATGCACATTCTATTATGCTATCTTGACTATCTTACATAATTGTTTTAGACACCCCCCCCCTTATCTATTTGCACAATTCTGTGGAGTAAGGACCAGGATTTAAATGTTAATCTATTGAATAGGTAAAAATGTGCTGTTCTCTGTTACCGCTATTAAAAGAATCCATGAATTGTGAAAGGTTTTATCTCTGCAGTATAACTCTCCATTTAGAAATGACTCACATATTTATTTCTTTGGCTCTGATCATCCAAACTAAAGTATTAGCCATAAAAAATGTTTTAGGAATGTAGAAATTTAATATTATGAATATATGTGAGTTTATTGAGAGACACTGTAACAGTGAGTATGTAATATAATTTTATGTATAATTTTAAGACTGCCATTGTAATTGTACATATTTATGGGATACAATTAATGTTTATATACATATGTATGTTATATAATGAAAAAACCCAAGTAGTTAGCATGTCTATCACCTCATATATTTATTATTTCTTTGTGGTGAGAACATTCAAAAGCTTTTCTTCTAGCTGTTTTGTAATATACAATACCTTATGGTTAGCCATAGTCTCCCTACTGTGCAATAGAACACTAGAACTTATTCCTTCTCATTGTGACTTTGTACCCTCTTGTCATCTTTCTCTTCCCCCTTTCCTCCTCAGTCTCTGGTAACCACTGTTCTACTTCCTGCATCTATGATATCAACTTTTTTTTTTCCAGATTCCACATATGAGTGAGACCATGCAGTATTTGCTTTTCTATGCCTAGCATATTTCACTTAACATGATGTCCTCCAGGTTCATCCATGTAGTCAAAAAAATGACAGAATTTCATTCTTTTTATGGCTAAATAGTATTCCAATGTGTATATATACCAAATTTTTTTCATTTCTTTATTTCATTTATTGTTGTATAGTTAGGTTGATTCCTTATCTTGGCTACTGTAAATAGTGCTGCAATAAACATGGGAGTACAGATATATTTTTGACATGATTTCATTTCCTTTGGATATGTAGTGAAACCAGTAGTGAAATTACTGGATAATATGGTAGTTCTATTTTTAATTTTTTTGAGAAAGCTCCATACTGTTTTCCATAGTTGCTGTACTAATTTACAGTTCCACAAGCAGTGTGTAAAAGTGTTTCCTTTTCTCCAGATCATTGCCAACACTTTTTTTTGTCTTTTTTAAAATAGCTATTCTAACTGGAGTGAAGTGGTTATCTCATTGTGGTTTTAATGCGAATTTCCCTGATGATTAGTGATGCTGAGCATTTTTTCATATGCCTGTTAGCCATTTGTATGTCTTCTTTTGAGAAATATCTAGTAACGTCTTTTGTCCACTTTTAAACTATGTCGTGTGTGTGTGTGTGTGTTTGTGTGTGTGTGTGTGTGTGTGTGTTTCCTGTTAAGTTGCTTATATATTCTGGATATTAACAACTTGTGAGATGTATAATTTGCAATTTTTTTTTCCCTTTGTAGAGATTGACTCTTCACTCTGTTAATTGTTTCTTTTGCGGTGTAAAATCTTTTCAGTTTGCTTTAATCCTAATTATTTGTTTTTGCTTGTGTCACCTGTGCTTTTTAGGTTTTATTTAAAATCTTTTTTTATAAGGCACTTCCTCTATGTTTTTGTCTAGTAGTTCCATAGTTTTGGGTTTTATGTTTAAGCCTTTCTATCCATTTTGAGTTGACTTTTGTATATGGTGAGAGGTAGGGGTCTAGTCTCATTTTTTGCATGTAGATATCCAATTTTCCCAGCACCATTTATTAAAGAGACTTTTTTCCCAATGTGTGTTCTCACACATTTATTGAAAACCAGTTGTCCGTAGGTGCACAATTTTTTTCCTGGGCTCTCTATTCTGCTCCATTGGTCTATGTCTGTTTTTATGCTAGGACCCTACAGTTTTGGTTCCTATATTTATAAATTAGGTAGTGTGATGCGTCCAGCTTTGTTCTTTTTGCTCAAGATTGCTTCGGCTGTTCGTGATCTTTTGTGATTCCACATGAATTTTAGGATTGCTTTTTTTATTTCTGTGAAGAATGTCATTGATATTTTGATAGAGAATGCATTAAATCTGCAGATCACTTTGGGTAGTATGGTTATTTTAAGAATATTAATTCTTCCAAACCATGAATGTTGTCATATGTTTTTGTACTTTCAATTTTTTCATCAAAGTTTTGTAGTTTTCAGTGTATGTAACTTTCACCTTAAGTTTATTCCTAGATATCTTTTTTATGGTAGCTATTATAAATGGAATCCTTTTCTTATTTCTTTTTCAGATGTTAGTGCATAGAAATGCTACTGATTTTCATTTATTTTATTTTTTTTTTGAGATGGAGTCTTGCTCTGTCTCCTAGCCTGGAGTGCAGTGGTGCGATCTCGGCTCACTGCAAGCTCCGCCTCCCGGGTTCACGCCATTCTCCTGCCTCAGCCTCCAGAGTAGCTGGGACTACAGGCGCCTGCCACCACGCCCGGCTAATTTTTTGTATTTTTAGTAAAGACTGGGTTTCACCGTGTTAGCCAGGATGGTCTCAATCTCCTATCCTCGTGATCCGTTCGCCTTGCCTCCCAAAGTGCTGGGATTACAGGCGTGAGCCACCAGGCACAGCCCGAAATGCTACTGATTTTTGTATGTTGATTTTTTTAAACTGCAACTTTACTAAATTCATTTTTTAGCTCTAACAGTTTTTTGGTGAAGTCTTTGTGGTTTTCTATTTATAAGATCATGTCTGCGAACAGGGACAATTTGACTTCCTTCTGTTCAATTGAATATCTTTTATTTCTTTCTCATGTCTGATTGCTCAGGCTAGAACATCCAGTTCTATATCGAATAGACATGGTGAAAGTGGGCATTCTTGTCTTGCTCCTGTTCTTAGAGAACAAACTTTTTAGCTTTTCCTGGTTCAGTATGATGTTAGCTATGGGTATGCCATATATGGCCTTTATTGTGTTGGGATGTATATCTTCTGCACCAAATTTGTCAAGAGTTGTGTTTTTTATATCATGAAGAGCTGCTGAATTTTATCAAAGGCATTTTCTGCATCTATTGAAATGATCATATGGTTTTTTATTTTTTTCTGTTAATGCAATATATAACATTTATTGATTTGCATTTATTAAACCATGTTTGTGTTCTTGATATTGAATGCCACCTGATTATAGTGAATGATCTTTTTAATGTGTGGTTGAATTCAGTTTGCTATTATCTTGTTGAAAATTTTTTTGTCTATGTTTATCAGTAATATTGTCTTGTAGTTTTCTTTTTTGGCTGTGTCATTGTCTGGTTTGAGAGTCAGGGTAATGTTCTCCTCATAATGTAAGTTTGGAAGTATTTCTTCCTCTTTGATTTTTCTGGAATAGTTTGATGAAAATTGTTACTAGTTCTTTAAATGTTTGGTAGAATTAAGCAGTGAAGTCATCATATCCTGGGCTTTTCTTTGATGGAAGACTTTTTATTACTGACTCAATTTCCTCATTCATTATTGGTCTGTTCAGATTTTCTATTATTTTATAATTTAATCTTGGTAGGTTCTATGTGCCCAAGAATTTATCCATTTCTTGTATGTTATCAAATTTGTTGGAGTATAGTTTTTGTAATAGTCTTTTATGGTCCTTTGTATTTATGTGCTATCAGTTGTAATGTCTACTTTTTAATATCTGATTTTATTTGTCTTTTCTCTTTTGTTCTTAGTTGGTTTAGCTAAGGGTTTGCCGGTTTTGTTTATTTTTTCAAGAAAAAACTTGTTTCATCAATCTTATGAATTCTTTTAGTCTCTAATTCATTTATTTCTGCTCTGAGCTTTATTATTTCTTCCTTTCCATGAATTTTGTATTTGTTTTTGTTTTCTTTTTTTCTAATTCCTTGAGATGCACTGTTAGGTTTTTCATTAGAAATCTTTCTTCTTTTTTGATGTAGGTGTTTTATTGCTATCAACTTCGCTCTTAGAACTGCTTTTGCTGTGTCCCATAGGTTTCGGTATAATGTTTTAACTTCCACTTTTAATTTACATATTGACCCACTGGTTGTTTAGGAGCATGTTGTTTAATTCTCATGTATTTGTAAAGTTTTTGAAATTTGTTTATTCTTGATTTCTATTTTTATTCCATTGTGGTCAGAAAAATACTTGATACGATTTCAGTGTTCTTATATTTGTTCAGATTTATTTTGTGCTTTAACATATGTTCTATCCTGGGTAATATTCCATCTGCAGTTGAGAAGAATGTGTATTCTGCAGATGTTGGATAGAATGTCTCTTAGGTCCATTGAGTCTATGGTCCCTTTGATCTATGGTCCATTTGGTCCATTTGGTCTATGGAAAAGTTCAAGTCTGATACTTCTTTCTTGATTTTCTCTCTAGATGATCTGTCCATTGAAGTGGGGTGTTGAAGTCCCCCACTATTGTTGTATTGCAGTCTGTCTTCCCCTTTAAATCTATTAATGCTTGCCTTATATACCTGGGAGCTTTGGTGTTGGGTGCATAGATATTTATAGTTGCTATGTCTTCTTACTGAATTGACTCCTTTATCATTATTTAGTGACCTTCTTTATCTTTGTTCATAGTTTTTAATTTGTAGCCTGTTTTGTCAGATGTAAGTAGCTACTCCTGCTTGCTTTTGGTTTCTATTTACATGAAATACCCTTCTCCATTCCTTTACTTTTAGTCTTTGTTAGTCTTTAATGGTGAGGTGGGTCTCCTGTAGCCACTATATAGTTGGGTATGTTTTTTTAATATTTATCCAGTCACTTTATATCTTTTAATTGAATAATTCATTTACATTCAAGGTTTTTGTTGATAAATAAGGACCTACTCCTGTCCTTTTGTTAATTGTTTTCTAGATTAGAAAACATTTTTTCTAAAACTGTTTATAAACAGTTTGATTATGATGTGCCTCAGAGAGGATCTTTTTGGATTGAATCTGATTGGAGACCTAAGTTTCCAGGAGAATACAGATGTGGATCCAATGTCAAGTTTTTGTTAATTGTTGTTTTGTAGATTCTTTGCTCCTCTCTTTTTATTTATCTGTGTGGTTTGTGGTTTTCTTTGGTGCTAAGCTTTGTTTACTTTCTCTTTTTTGTTTATCTGCTGTAATTTCTTTCCTTGTAATTTATTTTTATTTTTATTTTTTTATTATTATACTTTAAGTTTTAGGGTACATGTGCACAATGTGCAGGTTAGTTACATATGTATACATGTGCCATGCTGGTGTGCTGCACCCATTAATTCGTCATTTAGCATTAGGTATATCTCCTAATGCTATCCCTCCCCCCTCCCCCCACCCCACAACAGTCCCCAGAGTGTGATGTTCCCCTTCCTGTGTCCATGTGTTCTCATTGTTCAGTTCCCATCTATGAGTGAGAACATGCTGTGTTTGGTTTTTTGTCCTTGCAATAGTTTACTGAGAATGATGGTTTCCAATTTCATCCACGTCCCTACAAAGGACATGTACTCATCATTTTTTATGGCTGCATAGCATTCCATGGTGTATATGTGCCACATTTTCTTAATCAAGTCTATCATTGTTGGACATTTGGGTTGGTTCCAAGTCTTTGTTATTGTGAATAGTGCTGCAATAAACATACGTGTGCATGTGTCTTTATAGCAGCATGATTTCTAGTCCTTTGGGTATATACCCAGTAATGGGATGGGTGGGTCAAATGGTATTTCTAGTTCTAGATCCCTGAGGAATCGCCACACTGACTTCCACAATGGTTGAACTAGTTTACAGTCCCACCAACAGTGTAAAAGTGTTCCTATTTCTCCACATCCTCTCCAGCACCTGTTGTTTCCTGACTTTTTAATGATTGCCATTCTAACTGGTGTGAGATGGTATCTCATTGTGGATGGAACTAACATAAAGAGTCTTTTAGCTATAATAGTTATAATATAAAGTTAAGATAATAACAACTTTGGTCACATCAAAATCTCCTAGACTCTTCTCCTCCCCCTGACAATTTATACTTTTGTTGCCTTATTTTACATCTTTATCTATTGTGTATTCCTGAACCACTAATTGGAGCTGTTGTTGTTTCTGACCATTTTGATTTTGAACCTTCATACTAGAGGACTGAAAGATGTATGTAGCACCATTACAGCTCTGGGATATTCTGAGTTTGATTATAAATTTAACTTTATTGGTTAGTTTTATAGATGTACGTGTTTTCATGATGAAAATTATTGTTTTTCCATTTCCAGTTGTAGCACTTCCTTAGACATTTCTTGTAAGGCTAGTTTAGTGGTGATTAATTCCCTCAGCTTTTGTTTATCTGGAAAGGTCTTCATTTCTTTATTTCTGAATAATAGCATTGGTGAATATAGTATTCCTGTCTAACAGTTTTTTAATTTTATTTTCAGCACTTCAAATATATTATTCCATTCACTTTTGACTTGCAAGGTTTCTGCTGAGGTATCTGCTGATAGTCTAATGGGAATTCCTTTATATGTGACTTGATGCTTTTCTCTTGCAGCTTTTAGAATTCTCTTTGTTTTTCACTTTGGACAGTTTGATTATAAAGTGCCTCAGAGAGGATCTTTGTGGATTGAATCTAATTGGTAACCTCTGAGCTTCCAGGAGAATACAGATATGGTCCAAAATCTCTCCTAAGACTTGGGAAATTTCCAGCTACTATTTTGTTAAATAGATTTTCTGTGCCTTTCTCCATCTTTTCTCTCTCTGGTACTTCTACAATGCAACAATTTGTTTAATTATGTCCCATAAATCCCACCGGCAATGTTCATTCTTTTTTATTCTTATTTTCCCCCCCACTCTGACTGGGTTATTTCAAAGGACTGTATTCAAGTATAGAAATTTTATCTTCTGTTTGATTTAGTTGGTTGGTTGAAGCTTTCAATTGTATTTTTTGTTTGAATTCTTCAGCTTTAAGATTTCTTTTTAGCTCTTTTTTATGATATCTATTTGTTAAATTTCTTATTCAAATCAATAATAGTTTTTCTAATTTCATTGAATTGTTTGTATTTTCCAGTATCTCACTGAGTTTCCTTCATAACATTATTTTGAAATACTTTTCAGGTATTTTGTACATATCCTTTTCTTTGGGGTCAGCTACTAGAGACTTACTGTGTTCCTTTCATGGTGTTAGATTTCCTTGCTTTTTCATGTTTCCTGTTTCCCTATGTTGATATCTGCACATCTAGTGGAACAGTTGCTTTTTCTAAATTTATGGAATAGGTTTTGTAAGGAGAGACTTTTTCCTGTAGATTCGTCCTAGGACATCAGTTGGGTGTGGTGCATTGCCTTTAGTTCTAGGGGGCTCAGTAGCATGGTCTTTGTGCAGTTTCTTTAGCTGTAATCCTCGTCAGTTATATCTGTGATTGCCTTAGTGGACTAGGCTGTGGGAGTTGCAATGGCAGTTGTGATGGCAATGGTGTGGTTTTTCTGAAAGTGGAAGAGCTGGGATGGTGGTCAGGCCTGGTACGTGTAGGTGCGGGAGGCTGGGTAGCTGTGTGGTGGTCTCTTTGTGGAGGTAGGCCTGCTGCTAGACTGGCCATTGAGCCAGTTGCAGTTTCACATGAACACAGTAGTTTGTTTGGTTGTACAGTGGTTTCTCTGAGGAGGCAGTGCTGCCTCCGGCCTGGTTGGTGGGGATGGGGCATTGCATGGGTTTGAACATTGTGGTCTCAGTTGTTCCACCATGGCTAGGCTTCATGTAGGTGGGATCATAGTGCTGCAGGCAACAGTGTTCACATAGTGGAATGGCAGTAGGTCCTTAGGGATAGAGAGAGTGGCCACTCAACCCCATGGCAGATGCATTCTAGCAGTAGATCCATTTTCAAGATGGTGCTGTGCCATAGCAGCTTAGGTCATGGGGGTTGAAGGGGTCTCCTATTCTGAGACCACCCTGATTCTGGGAGGTATGCAAATTCCCAGAAACTCTCCAAACTGGATTCAGGGCCTGTGAAGACTACGGGGGCTGTACTGTAGCAAGGATCATTGGCATCTGTGGTGACAATGGAGACCACTTGGGGTCCCCAGCTTACTTTTATCTTATAAGAAGAAATATCTCCTGATTCAAAGCCTATCCTGGTGAGGGAGACAGTCTGGCAGGGGCAGGGTGTCTTGCTCCCTTCTCTATGGTGCTATCTTGGGTTTCCATGATCCACAGAGATTTTGCCATTTTCCTTCAGCATACTTTCTCAATTGCTCCAGTTGAAATATAATTGTTTATTCACTGTTTGATTCCTTTTTGTTTAGGGGGTGCAGCAAATTCCAGACCACTCTAGTCAGTTACCTTGCTGATGTTATTCGTGTTTATACTTTAAAAATGTATTAATATGTATATATTTTGGTATGTATGTATATGTGTGTGTGTGTGTTTGTGTGTGGCATATATCCACATTTAATTTCTCAGTTAACTTTAGGCATCTATCTACCACAGAAAGACATTAAGAATGCCAGGTGAAATCAAAGAGAAAGTGAATGAATATTCAGCCTCTGATCGTACAAATAGAAGTTTACAGAAGACAACTGTCTTAAAAGCCAGGCATTGTTAAACAGGATTTTCTAGATTCTTTTATCTAGATCTCATGACTGAGACCAAGTTTCATTGGCCTCACTCATGTTATGCCTCATGAAGGGAAGAGAAAGAGAAAGAGATGGAGAGAGCGAGAGAGAGAGAGAGAAAGAAAGAGAGAGAGACAGAGACAGAGACAGAAAAACTAAGAATAAATGAATGAGAATATGCTTCTTGCAGTCCTGGTAGTTGGTGGGTAAAGGATGGCAAAGGAGAGGACAGAGAGAAGGGTCTGCAGATCATGAAGAAGGGCTTTATTATCTGTCTAAAATTGCAAACAGAAATTGACATGGTTATGAGAGGGCCTGAGTCCATTCAGGCTGATCATGGTTTCCTGAGTGTCTTCAAGCCTCAGTTGGGAGTCTAGCCCACAGATACTGCTAACATGGCAAGTGGTAATTATGCATATCTTTGCTGTAAAGCAGGTAGATAGATGGTCTTTAGGGCATTCTGGAATCACAGACTTTCCTGTATATCCCAGTGAAGTAATGAAGAGGTGTTAAAATTGCCCCTGGGTAGCGGAGACTTGGAGTCAAGACAAAGTTGCCACCATAGACTTTGAGACTGGGTGAAGATGTTGGTACTATGAGTTCTAGCAGGGTTCCCAACATGTCATCCCAAAAGCCTAGTGGAGCCTGTTGCCTCTTGGCAGTCACCAATCTGGGGTTCATATATTCTGCACAAGAGACAATAGAGATCCAATACCTCATGGATCTGAGGAACATTCACCTCATGTCTCCTTCACCCACTTCTGTAAGGACAAGGTCAACCCCTCTCATGCATATAAACTTGAGAAAAGTAAAGAGAAAGAGTGAAATCTGAAAGACTGAGCACTTACCTATAAAATAGTACATTATGTGAAAGAGGTAAATTTGAAACAGCCTTAATAGGATGTTTAACTTTGAAGAGACTGAAAAGGGATTGTTGAAACCAGAGGAGTTGGAAATATTTTAATTGGTAAGTTAAAAAAAAAATAACTTCTGCTCAGCATGGTTGGAAATTGTGAAAAAGATAAATGCAGTTTTAGAAATTTAAGAAACTTTTCTTGGTGCCACCGACTTATATTGGAATTAAATGTTCGAAGTCAGATCCTAGCATAAACCTAGAGTTTAGAAAAATAATTGAGTGAAAGAATTAAATTTTTGGTGTTTCTCTTATGCTGTTAGGGAAAAGTAATAACACTCAATTGACACAAATATCCTGAAGAGTGGAAGAAAATACTTCATTTTGAATTAATACAAATTTTTAATGATATTTCACCACTTCTTGGATAAAATAAACTCCAGACTAGTCAACTTTGATATAGTAGAATGAGACTTGAAATACAAAGTCTAGTTTGAGGTACTTAGCATTATTTACCGTACCACTTCTGGTAAAGCACTTAATTCCTCCTAATCTCAGTTTCTTTACCTATAAAATAGGTCACATCTACCTCTGGTAACTGTGATAAATCTCATATATTATTGCACACCTGAATGTGGAGTAGACCAAGGGCAAATCTGACATGCTGCCTGTTTTTGTATATACAGTTTTTTGGGGGGGAAAAAGAGCCTTGCCTACTTATTTATTCACCTTTTCTACAGTGACATCACACTGCAAAGGCAGAGTTGAATATCTGTGATACAGACTGTGGCCTGTGCTGTTAAAAATATTTACAACATGAAGCTTTACAGAGAAAAATTTGCCAGCTCTGGTGTAAAGTATCATAAGCAATAAAATGAGCAGGTGCTATTATTTTTATCATGTTATACCCCATTTGCTGATTCCATGCTGACATAGCTGTGTTTTAGCAAACAATTTTGTTTAAAAACCATCTTCTTTCTAGGCAGGGGTTATTCTGGGTAATAGAGAAGACTAGCTTTTCATTCAAAAGCATGCTTCTCATTGCAAAATAACCAACTGGGATCAGATTTATAAAGCAGCCTACTCAGAATTTGGCTTCTTTTTCCTTGGCAAAGGCCTGATCTCCTTGGTTGAGTTGATATGGTTAAACTTGGAAATCTAAAATTTAAGTACCACCTGTTCTGAATTCTCCTTGAGCCATTCTTCACACACCATTGGTATTGACATCAAGGGGCCAGCTACTCTCCCTCAACTTTACCATACTTCCCAGAGGAGTGTCAGCCAAACATTTTCAGTTGCCTACGTGCACATGAAATTGGAAGACAAACTACTTTTAAGAAGGACACAGATACCTACTTTGATAAATTTTCCTTTTCTTTGTTCCAAAGTCTATCCTCATGTGGACTGACAACAAAGCTGTCACCTGCTGCAGGGTGAAATCGAGTGAGAATAACAGACGGCTATTATGTGAAAGGGAACCTTGGGTGAATTTGGCAAGATGCTAGGTTATGAAAAAATAATAATTTCAAACACTAGTTTATTATTAAATGAAGTCAGATTTTAACAATTTCTTGTTATAGGGTATCCAGCAATGGGAATGTAACATACTTGGGTTAATTATGTCATTCTTTAGGGAAAAAAAGTTAGTTAACAGCTAGCCACCTGCCATGTATTAAAAAATAAGAGGCTGTAGATTCCTTTCTGGAAATAGAACATATTTGAAATGTAGATGCTGTAATTTTGCCAAAGGCTGATGAAACCCCAAAAGGTAATTATGTCAGCCTGAGAAGACTATAATAGTGAAAATAAGATTTACAAAAAGAGTTACAGGTTTTCCGCCACCATCAGCAGACAATTTTAAATTTGGAAGTGAATGCTATTGTGCTTGGGCATCGCTTAAATCTTTTCCTCCCCACCAAATGTTTCTCTAATTTGCCTGAAAATCTTCCAGTTTTCTCTCTTCCTCTTTTCTCTATTTCCATTATTTTCTTTCTCTCCCACCTCCTCTCAGGTTCTCACCCTTCCCACAACAACTAATGCTCTTAACATAACTTAGAATAGTATAGAAAGCTGTACTCTTTTAACAGGGAATGGAAAGCAAAACATTTTTGTAGGATGTCACCATTGCTTTTTATTACATATTAGAAAGTTTTGAACAGCCCCTGTAAGTCCAGTTTAAGGAATCTGTCCTATAGATATACTTCCAAGTATGCAAAGCTATGTTATGAAGGTCTTCATTGCAGACTGAGGATGGAAAAAAAGAAAAGAAAAAGAAGTGAAGCAGAGAATAGAAACAATAGAAACAGTGGGGAAAAAACAGGAGAGGAGAAGACAGGAGGAAGACCAGGAGCTGGGAGTGGCACTAAAAGAAAGCTCCAGAAGTGTGGCGTGAGAGAAGAGCTAGCAACAAAGGCTTCCCTTTCTTGGTCCACAGAGGACTCTACATGAACTATACACATTTTTTAAAGCTCAGTATCCTAACTGTAGAGAATCCCATATTAGTTTGCTGGTGAGGCATTAGGGACTTGGAAATGAGCCCAAAATGTTCTGGAGAAATACTTGGTATAACTGAGGATACTTTTCATTGACACTGTATTAATGAAAGGTGCCAGAGAGAAAGAAGACAGCATTAGGCTGCCAAAGGTATTTATTGTAATAAACTTGGTGGGGCAGGTCATGTGGCACCATGAGCCCTCAATTATTTAGCCTGCAGGAAGAGAAAAATAAGTTAGGAATAGGCAGTACCAGGACTAGGGAAACGTAATCAGTGGGAGAGTTGGCCTCCAAGTAAGGTGGCAGGAACCTGATTCAGGGTCCAAGTTGATGGAGCAAATCTTTCTCTATCTGGGCTTTAGTTGACATCCCAAGATTCAAATTAGGTGGTTGGGCCCCAGCAGCTGTAGTTTTCCAGTAGCAGTGCTACTCAGAAACAGGTGGATGGGAATTGTGTGGTTTCTGGAGTGTGGAAATCCATCTGGATTGAAGTAGGATTCTAGCCAGTTGCTGGCAAAAGGGAGAGAAGGTCCAACTCTTAGGAAAATTGGGACTGTTTCAGAACCTTGTTGTGATTGTTGGAGCTCAGAAACAAGATCCAATCCGAGTCAGAAAACTGGAATATAAATCAGGACCTGAGGCAGTTTCCCAGTCCCATGAAAGCAGAGTAGGAGGTTGGATAAGGAAAGCATAGCTCAGCAAGCACAAAGGCATCTTGAAACTCACACCTGTTATGGAGTGGAGAGTTATTCCAGACTCTAATGCACATTCAACAGGCAGGTTTGTTCATTTGGTTCAGGCATGAAAAGGGCAATGTGAGAAGCAATGAAGACAATAAGAAATGACGCTCATGGTAAAATCGTAAGAAATGTTTTGCATGGTGCTAACAGTTCAAAAGATCCTGGAAGCACAAGTTAGAAAGATAATTTTCTGAAGGGTGAGTAAAACATTTCAGGGCTGATTACTTCAATCTTTAATCTATTAATTTGCTCTTCAAAAAGTTAGTGGTGTTCTATTGACCTGAAGAATAGACTGCTCAACATTACTGACTTCAATTTCACAAGCAAAATGTAAATGAGTAAAAAGCAAGCTAATTATTCAATTTAAATAGAAAGCAAGTGTCTAGGATATCTTTGGGTTCATACTCCTTACTTTCTGTATCCCACATCAGGAGCAGATGTGGCATGTATAGTTGATGTCATAATAACTGTGAGTAATTGATAATATGTGAAATTTGGTAATACTGTACTTAAGGCAGAGAAAAGAATTTGCTATTTAATAAGTACCTTTAAGAGTTTATGCTAACATCTTAAATATTTTTGAAAATTTAGTTTATACACATTTTAATCCTTAAGCCTATATTATATATGAGATTTCACTCATGTTTTCCAACAGTGGAATTCTATGTGGTAACTCAATTATAATAATATTTTCTTAGAGGTGCCAAAAACTATTTAGCAGATGTAACATGCTTTCATCCATAATATATATGTGAGTATGAATATTTATACCCAGATTTATCCATTGTATGATTATACTGAAAAGAATAGATTTAATGCACATCATGATAATTATCATTAGTGGGTGTTTACTGTTTGTTAGACACTGTACTAAGTGATTTTACAAACTTTAACTCATTTAATAATAAAAAAATTCTACATAGCAAATATTCTTACCCTGATTTCGTAGAGGAGGAAACTGAGAGTTAGCATCCTAAAGCTAAAAAGTGGTGAAATTGCATATGGCTCCAGAATTAGAAGATACTGAAACTGGAATTCAGACAAAAGTCTATATTGATGAGTGTTGTTGCTGTTAATTTCTATGCTACATTACTTGCACGAATTAACTTACTTGATTCACTAATGAAGTCAAAGTTGTACAGTCAATTTATACATAAGCCAATTAGCTTTGCATAAAGAAAAGACACTACTTCATTGTCACCATACCTGACCACTGCTTGAAATATCTGTGCCTCTAATTTCAGTACATTTGGGCAAGACTGAGCAGCCATTTTAATACCAAACGTGTGTATGAATAACTCTTTAAATTCCACATTTTGATGCTATGGTATCTAATATAAAGGATAATAATTTATTAAATTTCTTAACAGTTTTTAACTTTAATTCAATAGCAGATGGTATAATAGAAAAAATATGTTACTGTAGGCAATGCCATTTACTTCTCTACTTTAGTTTGCCCATCTATATAATAAGGACTGGATTGGGTATTTTTCAGATTCCGTTTATCCTTGAAACTATATTATTCTAAACATCTAATTAATTGCTAGTCAAATTACATTTGCTAGAAATAATACAAGACAGAGGAAACTAGCATTTATTGAGCTGTTTTATATACCTGAAGTGTGAATACACGCATGCACACACACACACACTCAAATTTATTCATTTAGTTCTCTGACTTAATTTGCATGATAATATTGCATAGCATGTGATATTGTATGCATTCTACAGAAAAAGCATAGTGACTTAGAAGTCACAAAGCTTTCCAAAGATCTCAATCATAAAGTACAAATCTGCATGCCCTTTTGCTTAATGACTAATCTTCAGCTTATTTGGAAAAGTAACTTGTTTAGAACACACTGTGTATTAGTTAGGTAGCAAATTAAGATGTGAAATAACAGAAACTTATCATAGAAATGTTTATTTCTTACTAATGTGACTTTAGCATTGGGTCTTTAATGGTCTTAGAAGAAAGGTGGAGAACATATACCCCCTTTTACTTCTGACTGTAAGTTACATCTATCAGTTTCATTCACATTTTCGCAAGACAGACAGATTACACAGCTGTGACCTTAGCAAGGGAAATTTGGAAACGGAGTCTTGTGTTTTCAGGCAGAGCAAAATGAAACTGGATTTTATAAACAAACCCATTGCACTGGTTCTGCCGAAGCCTTATCTCCATCACTGATAATGATGCAGATATTTGAAGGGCTGCTATGTTAACTTTTTAACTATGCTTATAGACACAGAAAGAATAAATAACACAGAGCTTATGTCTTCTTGATAGTAGTATCCTTTATTTAGAAATTTCCAGAAAACTGGAATCTAATGAGATTCCAGAGCTTTCTTCTTGATATGGAGTTCCACAATGGCTTTACTGTTTCTTATGTTCACCATTTCACCTCCAGTGTTCATTGCAGTGTATGTATGTGCATATGTATTTGTTGCATGAATGTTAGAATGTGCTTATAGTGACAGCAGGTGACTAGTGGGTGAAGTTGCTAATATTTTAGCACCTAATTGAAAAGCCTCTAAATGAAAGTAAATATTTAGAAAGACATCGCTGGAATTTGGAAACATTGCAACAGTGTAAGCCTTGTGGTCAACTACCTTCTCTCAATTTATCTATATTCAAAAAGAAGGAAATCTTTGTCCACAATGGTTTAAGCTGTTTCTGGCCAAAGGGCTGACCTTTTTGCTGAAACAGATTTCACAAATGTGGACAAACTCAGGCAATGACTACCAGAGCCCTTTAGAAGAGAAGGCTTAGCAGGAGCACTTTTAGTCTTTGTGTATTCTTGACTCAAGTGCCCTTTGTTGCTTGCCAGGGAACTCAGGGAGGCAGAGATGACATTTTGATGCTGTGGCATAACCTAGACCTGTGGTTCTCAACCTTTCCAAGTACAAGGTTTCTTTTTTTTTTTATTTTTTTTTATTTTTTTTTATTTTTAAGCTTTTTTTTTTTTATTATACTTTAAGTTTTCGGGTACATGTGCACATTGTGCAGGTTAGTTACATATGTATACATGTGCCATGCTGGTGCGCTGTACCCACTAACTCGTCATTTAGCATTAGGTGTATCTCCCAATGCTACCCCTCCCCCCTCCCCCCACCCCACCACAGTCCCCAGAGTGTGATATTCCCCTTCCTGTGACCATGTGATCTCATTGTTCAATTCCCACCTATGAGTGAGAATATGCAGTGTTTGGTTTTTTGTTCTTGCGATAGTTTACTGACAATGATGGTTTCCAATTTCATCCATGTCCCTACAAAGGACATGAACTCATCATTTTTTATGGCTGCATAGTATTCCATGGTGTATATGTGCCACATTTTCTTAATCCAGTCTATCATTGTTGGACATTTGGGTTGCTTCCAAGTCTTTGCTATTGTGAATAATGCCGCAATAAACATACGTGTGCATGTGTCTTTATAGCAGCATGATTTATAGTCATTTGGGTATATACCCAGTAATGGGATGGCTGGGTCAAATGGTATTTCTAGTTCTAGATCCCTGAGGAATCGCCACACTGACTTCCACAATGGTTGAACTAGTTTACAGTCCCACCAACAGTGTAAAAGTGTTCCTATTTCTCCACATCCTCTCCAGCACCTGTTGTTTCCTGACTTTTTAATGATTGCCATTCTAACTGGTGTGAGATGGTATCTCATAGTGGTTTTGATTTGCATTTCTCTGATGGCCAGTGATGATGAGCATTTTTTCATGTATTTTTTGGCTGCATAAATGTCTTCTTTTGAGAAATGTCTTTTCATGTCCTTCGCCCACTTTTTGATGGGGTTGTTTGTTTTTTTCTTGTAAATTTGTTTGAGTTCATTGTAGATTCTGGATATTAGCCCTTTGTCAGATGAGTAGGTTGTGAAAATTTTCTCCCATGTTGTAGGTTGCCTGTTCACTCTGATGGTAGTTTCTTTTGCTGTGCAGAAGCTCTTTAGTTTAATTAGATCCCATTTGTCAATTTTGGCTTTTGTTGCCATTGCTTTTGGTGTTTTGGACATGAAGTCCTTGCCCACGCCTATGTCCTGAATGGTAATGCCTAGGTTTTCTTCTAGGGTTTTTATGGTTTTAGGTCTAACATTTAAATCTTTAATCCATCTTGAATTGATTTTTGTATAAGGTGTAAGGAAGGGATCCAGTTTCAGCTTTCTACATATGGCTAGCCAGTTTTCCCAGCACCATTTATTAAATAGGGAATCCTTTCCCCATTGCTTGTTTTTCTCAGGTTTGTCAAAGATCAGATAGTTGTAGGTATGCGGCGTTATTTCTGAGGGCTCTGTTCTGTTCCATTGATCTATATCTCTGTTTTGGTACCAGTACCATGCTGTTTTGGTTACTGTAGCCTTGTAGTATAGTTTGAAGTCAGGTAGTGTGATGCCTCCAGCTTTGTTCTTTTGGCTGAGGATTGACTTGGTGATGCGGGCTCTTTTTTGGTTCCATATGAACTTTAAAGTAGTTTTTTCCAATTCTGTGAAGAAAGTCATTGGTAGCTTGATGGGGATGGCATTGAATCTGTAAATTACCTTGGGCAGTATGGCCATTTTCAGGATATTGATTCTTCCTACCCATGAGCATGGAATGTTCTTCCATTTGTTTGTATCGTCTTTTATTTCCTTGAGCAGTGGTTTGTAGTTCTCCTTGAAGAGGTCCTTCACATCCCTTGTAAGTTGGATTCCTAGGTATTTTATTCTCTTTGAAGCAATTGTGAATGGGAGTTCACTGATGATTTGGCTCTCTGTTTGTCGGTTGTTGGTGTATAAGAATGCTTGTGATTGTTGTACATTGATTTTTTATCCTGAGACTTTGCTGAAGTTGCTTATCAGCTTAAGGAGATTTTGGGCTGAGACGATGGGGTTTTCTAGATAAACAATCATGTCATCTGCAAACAGGGACAATTTGACTTCCTCTTTTCCTAATTGAATACCCTTTATTTCCTTCTCCTGCCTGATTGCCCTGGCCAGAACTTCCAACACTATGTTGAATAGGAGCGGTGAGAGAGGGCATCCCTGTCTTGTGCCAGTTTTCAAAGGGAATGCTTCCAGTTTTTGCCCATTCAGTATGATATTGGCTGTGGGTTTGTCATAGATAGCTCTTATTATTTTGAAATACGTCCCATCAATACCTAATTTATTGAGAGTTTTTAGCATGAAGGGTTGTTGAATTTTGTCAAAGGCTTTTTCTGCATCTATTGAGATAATCATGTGGTTTTTGTCTTTGGTTCTGTTTATATGCTGGATTACATTTATTGATTTGCGTATATTGAACCAGCCTTGCATCCCAGGGATGAAGCCCACTTGATCATGGTGGATAAGCTTTTTGATGTGCTGCTGGATTCGGTTTGCCAGTATTTTATTGAGGATTTTTGCATCAATGTTCATCAAGGATATTGGTCTAAAATTCTCTTTTTTGGTTGTGTCTCTGCCCGGCTTTGGTATCAGAATGATGCTGCCCTCATAAAATGAGTTAGGGAGGATTCCCTCTTTTTCTATTGATTGGAATAGTTTCAGAAGGAATGGTACCAGTTCCTCCTTGTACCTCTGGTAGAATTCGGCTGTGAATCCATCTGGTCCTGGACTCTTTTTGGTTGGTAAACTATTGATTATTGCCACAATTTCAGCTCCTGTTATTGGTCTATTCAGAGATTCAACTTCTTCCTGGTTTAGTCTTGGGAGAGTGTATGTGTCAAGGAATGTATCCATTTCTTCTAGATTTTCTAGTTTATTTGCGTAGAGGTGTTTGTAGTATTCTCTGATGGTAGTTTGTATTTCTGTGGGATCGGTGGTGATATCCCCTTTATCATTTTTTATTGTGTCTATTTGATTCTCCTCTCTTTTTTTCTTTATTAGTCTTGCTAGCGGTCTATCAATTTTGTTGATCCTTTCAAAAAACCAGCTCCTGGATTCATTGATTTTTTGAAGGGTTTTTTGTGTCTCTATTTCCTTCAGTTCTGCTCTGATTTTAGTTATTTCTTGCCTTCTGCTAGCTTTTTGAATGTGTTTGCTCTTGCTTTTCTAGTTCTTTTAATTGTGATGTTAGGGTGTCAATTTTGGATCTTTCCTGCTTTCTCTTGTGGGCATTTAGTGCTATAAATTTCCCTCTACACACTGCTTTGAATGAGTCCCAGAGATTCTGGTATGTTGTGTCTTTGTTCTCTTTGGTTTCAAAGAACATCTTTATTTCTGCCTTCATTTCGTTATGTACCCAGTAGTCATTCAGGAGCAGGTTGTTCAGTTTCCATGTAGTTGAGCGGCTTTGAGTGAGATTCTTAATCCTGAGTTCTAGTTTGATTGCACTGTGGTCTGAGAGATAGTTTGTTATAATTTCTGTTCTTTTACATTTGCTGAGGAGAGCTTTACTTCCAACTATGTGGTCAATTTTGGAATAGGTGTGGTGTGGTGCTGAAAAAAATGTATATTCTGTTGATTTGGAGTGGAGAGTTCTGTAGATGTCTATTAGGTCCGCTTGGTGCAGAGCTGAGTTCAATTCCTGGGTATCCTTGTTGACTTTCTGTCTCGTTGATCTGTCTAATGTTGACAGTGGGGTGTTAAAGTCTCCCATTATTAATGTGTGGGAGTCTAAGTCTCTTTGTAGGTCACTCAGGACTTGCTTTATGAATCTGGGTGCTCCTGTATTGGGTGCATATATATTTATGATAGTTAGCTCCTCTTGTTGAATTGATCCCTTTACCATTATGTAATGGCCTTCTTTGTCTCTTTTGATCTTTGTTGGTTTAAAGTCTGTTTTATCAGAGACTAGGATTGCAACCCCTGCCTTTTTTTGTTTTCCATTTGCTTGGTAGATCTTCCTCCATCCTTTTATTTTGAGCCTATGTGTGTCTCTGCACATGAGATGGGTTTCCTGAATACAGCACACTGATGGGTCTTGACTCTTTATCCAACTTGCCAGTCTGTGTCTTTTAATTGGAGAATTTAGTCCATTTACATTTAAAGTTAATATTGTTATGTGTGAATTTGATCCTGTCATTATGATGTTAGCTGGTTATTTTGCTCGTTAGTTGATGCAGTTTCTTCCTAGTCTTGATGGTCTTTACATTTTGGCATGATTTTGCAGCGGCTGGTACCGGTTGTTCCTTTCCAGGTTTAGCGCTTCCTTCAGGAGCTCTTTTAGGGCAGGCCTGGTGGTGACAAAATCTCTCAGCATTTGCTTGTCTGTAAAGTATTTTATTTCTCCTTCACTTATGAAGCTTAGTTTGGCTGGATATGAAATTCTGTGTTGAAAATTCTTTTCTTTAAGAATGTTGAATATTGGCCCCCACTCTCTTCTGGCTTGTAGAGTTTCTGCCGAGAGATCCGCTGTTAGTCTGATGGGCTTCCCTTTGAGGGTAACCCGACCTTTCTCTCTGGCTGCCCTTAACATTTTTTCCTTCATTTCAACTTCGGTGAATCTGACAATTATGTATCTTGGTGTTGCTCTTCTCGAGGAGTATCTTTGTGGCGTTCTCTGTATTTCCTGAATCTGAACATTGGCCTGCCTTGCTAGATTGGGGAAGTTCTCCTGGATAATATCCTGCAGAGTGTTTTCCAACTTGGTTCCATTCTCCGCATCACTTTCAGGTACACCAATCAGACGTAGATTTGGTCTTTTCACATAGTCCCATATTTCTTTGAGGCTTTGCTCATTTCTTTTTATTCTTTTTTCTCTAAACGTCCCTTCTCGCTTCATTTCATTCATTTCATCTTCCATTGCTGATACCCTTTCTTCCAGTTGATCGCATCGGCTCCTGAGGCTTCTGTATTCTTCACGTAGTTCTCGAGCCTTGGTTTTCAGCTCCATCAGCTCCTTTAAGCACTTCTCTGTATTGGTTATTCTAGTTATACATTCTTCTAAATTTTTTTCAAAGTTTTCAACTTCTTTGCCTTTGGTTTGAATGTCCTCCCGTAGCTCAGAGTAATTTGATCATCTGAAACCTTCTTCTCTCAGCTCGTCAAAGTCATTCTCCATCCAGCTTTGTTCCGTTGCTGGTGAGGAACTGCATTCCTTTGGAGGAGGAGAGGCGCTCTGCTTTTTAGAGTTTCCAGTTTTTCTGTTCTGTTTTTTCCCCATCTTTGTGGTTTTATCTACTTTTGGTCTTTGATGATGGTGATGTACAGATGGGTTTTTGGTGTGGATGTCCTTTCTGTTTGTTAGTTTTCCTTCTAACAGACAGGACCCTCAGCTGCAGGTCTGTTGGAATACCCTGCCGTGTGAGGTGTCAGTGTGCCCCTGCTGGGGGGCGCCTCCCAGTTAGGCTGCCCGGGGGTCAGGGATCAGGGACCCACTTGAGGAGGCAGTCTGCCCATTCTCAGATCTCCAGCTGCGTGCTGGGAGAACCACTGCTCTCTTCAAAGCTGTCAGACAGGGACATTTAAGTCTGCAGAGGTTACTGCTGTCTTTTTGTTTGTCTGTGCCCTGCCCCCAGAGGTGGAGCCTACAGAGGCAGGCAGGCCTCCTTGAGCTGTGGTGGGCTCCACCCAGTTCGAGCTTCCCGGCTGCTTTGTTTACCTAAGCAAGCCTGGGCAATGGCGGGCTCCCCTCCCCCAGCCTCGCTGCCGACTTGCAGTTTGATCTCAGACTGCTGTGCTAGCAATCAGTGAGATTCTGTGGGCGTAGGACCCTCCGAGCCAGGTGTGGGATATAGTCTCGTGGTGCACCGTTTTTTAAGCCGGTCTGAAAAGCGCAGTATTCGGGTGGGAGTGACCCGATTTTCCAGGTGCGTCCATCACCCCTTTCTTTGACTCGGAAAGGGAACTCCCTGACCCCTTGCGCTTCCCAGGTGAGGCAATGCCTCGCCCTGCTTCGGCTCGCGCACGGTGCGCACACCCACTGGCCTGCGCCCACTGTCTGGCACTCCCTAGTGAGATGAACCCGGTACCTCAGATGGAAATGCAGAAATCACCCGTCTTCTGCGACGCTCACGCTGGGAGCTGTAGACCGGAGCTGTTCCTATTCGGCCATGTTGGCTCCTCCCCCCTACAAGGTTTCTTTTAAATGTCAAACTCTACATAATCCCAAGAGATTCTAGTTGCGTTCTTTGAATCAGTTGCTGAGGAACTACAAAACAATAAAGGTCCCATTGGGACTTTTATTTTAAAACTTAGTAGTAGTTTTAAATGCATTTATACTTTATTACTTAAAATTACATATATTTGAAAAATAGATGCAAGATAAATTTATTCCATCAATTAACTATATTTGATGCACTATGGATTTGAAGATGTTTTGCAGTAACTCTGAGGCCCATAGGTTGAGAAGCAGTGAATTCAGTGGAAGCACTGATCCCCATAGTGCCAAATACAGCTTAAAGATAGTATGTAATGCTCCATGTATATAGTTGACATAGACAGGTACTTTGAGCAGTTTTAATTATTTATAAAGGAACACCTGATTATGAATATTCTACATTTCATTAGGCAGTAGGATATGCAGGGTATATGTGTGTATAGGTGTGTTGAATATTCATTCATTTGCTATTCTAGGCATTGAAGAAAGTGGTAAACATTAATAATAAAAGCTAATGTTCATATACAGATGTTCCTCAATTTATGATGGGGTTTCATTTCGATCAACCCATCATAAGTAGAAATATTGTAAGTCGAAAATGTATTTAATACACCTAATCTATCAAACATCATAGCTTAGCCTAGCTTGTATTAAAAGTTCTCAGAATATTTACATTAGCCTCCAGTTGAGCAAAATCATCTAACGCAAAGCCTATTTTATAATAAGGTGTTGAATATCTCATGTAACAGTATTATACTGCATCACTGGACAGGGAAAATTCAAAATCCAAAATTCATTTTACTGAATGAGTATCTATTTTGTCCCATCATAAAGTAGAAAAATCATAAGTTGAACCATCATAAGTTGGGGACCATCTGTAGTGATTATTATCTACTAAACAGATCTTATGGTATGTATTTTAGGATGTATTAATCCTATTATTAACTTTATTTTACAAGTCAGTACACACAGAGATGTGAAGCAGTATGCCCAAGAGTATAAATCGAATACATGGCAGAGCCAGCATTCCTACTCAGTGTGTTTAGCCCTCGAGTCTGTGCTTTTAATCAATTTGCTGTACTGCCTCTCAAAATGCTACTACCCCCGTCTCATATACCTTACATTGCCTTTAATGAAAAAGAAAACAATCCAGTAAAAAAATAATTAAACTTGATAAATTTATGCATAGATACATTCTGTGATATGGAATGAGTGCTCGCTGCCTATTTTCTCTAGGGGTGTTTGGGAGAGCCCCACTGAGGAAATGACATTGGAGGATTAAATAAGGATATGTTCAAACCTCTCTCTTCTCAACCAGCTCCTAACCACGAGAGCCTTTTTCCTCTTTAGGGGAACAATCAAAAATACAGTCAGTGCCCAAGAGGTCATAATTTGTAGCATCTATGTAATGATTAGATTGCTAGCTCAGTCATACATTTTCAACATAATCTCATTAAATATTTTTCACATTGTATGTGTAAGTAATCTCTGGGCTAATAAACACTGCAATAGAATTTCAATATTAAACATTTTTAGGGATTGTTTTTACTTTGTGATTTTAGTGCAAAGTTCTGTTACACTGAATCATTCCCCTTTTTTTGTTGTTGTTTTCATGCATTACATCTTGCAAGAACTCAGCATAAGTTCTAAGAAGTTGAATCAGAAGTAAAAAAAAAAAAAAAAATCTACTAAATTTAAGCCAATGACACTTCAGGCTAGCCAGCCTTTCTTCTCAGCTATGCTGCCAAGATTTTTGTATTTTGAATTGCTTTCTCCTAATTCCAGCAACAAAAGGTTTGAATAGTACGATCATGAGTACAAAGATCCTTGCAGAGGTGGGATCCTTCTCATCTGTACTGTTTCTACTGATTCTCATGTTCTTATAGTTTTCACCCAAGAGGTCTGCTTCCTACCTTTCTAGGACACACTGGTGGCTTGTTAATCTAGAAGCATGCATAGCTACATGCTATTTGATCACATTTGGTCTGAAATATATGGGTCACACAGAGCACAGCTCTAACCTTTTGGAGCAGAAGGTGAAGCTTCTATTCTCTTATTAGCTGTCCCCAATACTCCCTTTTCTCACATGCAAACCCCTGTGTCTCTGCTTTTACATGTTTTTTTTGGAAGATTCAAGTCTTCTTTCTCTTTGAAGAGACCTCTTCCTAATCACTTCAGTTTTACTAACTCCTCTTAAATTTTCTGTGATTCCACATCTGTTTGGGGACACCTATCATGATTAAGTTGTCAGTTGGCTCTTGTGCCTAATTTCAAGAATTTTTCATGTATTTCCTTGGAACACATTGTAGACATTGGCTCAATGCATTTCTCTATGAGGAGGCTAGAATAGAGTTGATGCAATCTTGTTCCCTTCATGAACTTTTCTCTTGATAGCTTAATAATCAATGTCCAGTATCTACCCTTCCTTCCCTCTCTATAGGGCTTTTTTTCTTCAGGTAATATTTATTGCATACCTATACTCTGCTTTACAACTTGCAAACTGCTGTGAATATAGTTTTGAAAACTTCAAAATCTCTGTCCTGAAGATAATACTTTTTAGATATAGGAGAATTAACATAAAATTGTGTTTATGTGAATATGCAACATGTACATATAATTCTTAATGATAGTAATATTTTATTGAGTGGTTATGATGGGCTAGATTTATACCAAGACTTTATACCAAGATGTATTAACCCATTTGACTTTCATAATTACCCAGTGAATTAGGTACTTTATTATGTCAAAATTTTAGATGGGAAAATTGTAGCACCGGAATTCCAAAAGTTTGTCCAAGATTACAGAGCTGATAAGTGGAAGAACTGGGAGTCCAGCCCAGCCACATTCATTCCAGAGCCTGTCTTCTTTTCCAGTATGTTGTATACATTTAAAGTCCCCAAAGTAATCATTAGTTTCTTAATACCCTTCTTTACCCCGGCCTCCAGATTAATCTACGACAATGCTTATAGCTCATCATTTTCTTATTTCAATCCTTTTGGTGGTTTGTTTGTTTCTACAGATTCTCATGTGACATTTAACACTCTCAATCCAGTAGAAACTATCCTAAACATTTTATTTTCACTGTCAATCACTTTGGTTAGCGCCTCTCTTCTGAATAATCATTCCTATGCTATGCCATTTCCCAAACTATCTCCCTTCCACATAGAATATCTACTTTCCTCTTCACCAATCAATCCAACAGCTATACTTTCTTAAGTAACAGCCTGGGACCAAACTCTTCCATTGCTTGCTAAACTCCCATAGCAAGTATAGCTTGAAAACATTCTAGGGTGTCCTATTACACTGACTTTAATTATTTTCCAGTTGCTTTGGGGCTTTTTGTTTGTTTTAGTTGCTTTTGCATGTGTTTTTATAACCAATCAGATGTGATTTTTTAGTGGTAGAGATCACACATTTTACTTTTTCTTAAAACTTCCATAGTAACTAGAATATGTTCAATGCTGACTAAATTCTTCTTGATGGACTTTTTGGAGAAGAAGAAATGATAACTTGATTTCAAGCACTTCTTCTACAGAGAAAGATAATTTCCAAGGAAAAGTAAAACAAACTCAGGTTAATGCTTTTTTTTTTTTTTTTTTTGAGATGGAGTTTGGCTCTGTTGCCCAGGCTGGAGTGCAATGGCATGATCTCGGTTCACTGCAACCTCCGCCTCCCGGGTTCAAGCAATTCTCCTGCCTCAGCCTCCCAAGTAGCTGGGATTACAGGCATGCACTACCACGCCTGGCTAATTTTGTATTTTTAGTACAGACGATGTTTCTCCATGTTGGTTAGGCTGGTCTCAGGCTCCCAACCTTAGGTGATCGGCCTGCCTTGGCCTCCCAAAGTGTTGGGATTACAGGCGTGAGCCACCACGCCCAGCCATTAATGCCCTTTCTTTATGTAAGTGACAGTTTATAGCACATGGCCATACTAATTATCTAAAATGATTCTCCAGAATTTGAAGACTATGAACTTTGATTACACACAGTATAAGTTAAAGAGTGCCCCTGACTTACTGGTATTACTTGGATGCTTTTTATGCACATATATTATTTGATCTTTTCACCTTTAGAACAGACGAATTAGAGATATTAGGAGAAGAGGCAAACCTCAGTTGCATAGGATGCTGTTTCCCCAGAAATCTTGTTTCTTTTGCCTTTGTTCTATGTCAGAGAGTGCTGGGGAAGGTGGTAAGACACACCCTAGTCATTGGCCAGAATTTGAAGTGGGTGAGTAGACTTCTGACATCATGGTGTTCTTGGTATTCCCAGTTTTCTTCTTTGGATGTACTGTTTTAAATTCTACTTCCTCTATAAACAATAGTATAAATGTCTACCAGTGAATCACTGGGTAACTAAGTGTACAAAAGGCCTTGAAAAATAAGTATAATATATCGTATGTAACTCAGTTACGGAAGGCTATCTTACTTTTTGATGTAACTAATAATAAGCTAGTCACCAAATGCAACTGTATAATAAAATGTTGGATTATAAGGAATTCAATAGTAGTTTTAATTGCAGTCCCTAAGCATTTATACCAAATTTGTTGCATATGTGTTTTGAAAATCTGTTGGCCAATAGCCATCATTGAATTTTATAAGAGAAACTGAATATCAACTTGATACTTTATTTGCAATATTTCAATTATATACCTACCATAAGGTTGGCAGTTCCATAACAGTGTTTTAGAGTATTAACAGAGCCATACTAATTGGCCCCCAGACAAAATCTGCAGTGCCAGGCCTAACTTTGGGGCAGTTTTTAAGCAATTACCATTATGAAGTCAAACCACTTTGAAGTATTTACTTTACAATATACTGTATACTGGAATGGACAGGGAAATAGGACTTTATTTTCAATATGTTTCTAAAAGAGTTCTACTTTTGGGGCTTGAAAACACATTTCCTCTTAAGTGTAGGGGATTCATAACTCACTATCAAAATAAACGCAATCAGAACTACCAGATTTAATACATAAGTATCTTAGATATATTCTAAACATATACACTTAAGGATAATTACTCTATTTGAATACAGCTTTAGTGAATTCATATTGAAGACTTGGAATTTACGCTTTTGTATAGAAGATTAAAAAGTGCTCTTATGAAAGCTCTAATAAATGGCTTGTTGGGCAATATGAATATTCAAAAGGGTGCCAAACATGCAACAAAATGTATCTGAAATATCCTATTGTATGTACAATAGAGATTTATTGTTCTATAAGAAAGGAAATAAGCCTCATTGAATATTTTAGGGTGATATACCCTTCTGGAAATTATTTTAAATCATTGCACAAATTTTTTTTTCAAGTACATTGGCCAGAAAAGGTGCTATCTGTATTAAATCCGAAGGCTAAAAAAGAAAAAGGTATTCATACAGAGAGAGTCACAACCTCTCACACGCACATTGCTCTGTACAACTGAACCTACTCCTTTTGCTCATTTTCTGTTCTTTTACCTAGAGGAGCTCAAGTGTATGTTTTCTCAAGATTCCTATCTTCTTTGCTAGTGCTTGATCTTCGTGGGCCTCTGTGGGTCTGAAATTATAAGACTGATATAATATCAGAGAGCTGAATGGACCCCAGGGAGTAGAGAGAATTCGAGGAAATCACGTAGTTGGAGGCTCCCCATGGAGGTAGCTGAGCCTGAGTTGAATTTCACATTAGTGCATAAAGAGTAAGGATGTCAATCCAAGCTGGAGTCAGGGTTATTTGAGTACTTGTGTCTCCTACTTAGCACTGCCATTTGCTTTACTCTCTTACCACAGAGAAACCCATTTCTTCACTGTGGTGCATGCGAAAATTTGCCTGGAAATCAGGGGCCATACTGCTTTGGGGAGGATCATTACCTGTGACAGGGAATATTCAGGTAGCCATATTGGAGTAATATGTGCATGATCCCTGAGCAGTTGCAGGTAGACATAGACCTAGATTTTTATTGTTCTTACTATTTGTTACAGTTAAACTTGCCAAATCCAAGGCATTTATTTTTGTAGCTTCTTGATTACAAAAGCTGTGTTTTGGGGGCAATGTAATGTTTGGAGGTCTAAAAAAGGAATTTATAAATACAACATTTAATTTAACATTAATTGAATTTAATGTGTGAAGGTCTAAACAAAGAAATTTCTAAATATAATGCAAAGGCTCAATACTAAAGTTTTAACATTAAAATGCTTCTTAAAGATTGGCCTTAGCTCCTTGATTCTGTTTTGTTTCAGTTAGCCATTACAAGCCATTGTGAGAAATACTAATACTAATATTCACACATTCCTGTTTCAAAAGTGTGCTGCTAATGATTGATATAAGTTATAGGTGGGCATAGACTTTTGTGAGTCATTCTTTAGGTAATGTGCCAGAGGGTAGTTTAAGGACATGGATTTTGGAGCCATATTGCCTAGGTTCAGATTCATCTCTGTCACTTACAAACTAGTGACCTTGGCTGAGAGTGGTGGCTCACGCCTATAATCCCAGCACTTTGGGAGGCCAAGGCAGGTGGATCACCTGAGGTCAGGAGTTCGAGACTAGCCTGGCCAACATGGCGAAACCCTGTCTCTACTAAAAATACAAAAATTAGCCGGGCATTGTGGCACATGCCTATAATCCCAGCTACTCAGGAGGCTGAGGCAGGAGAATTGCTTGAACCCGCGAGGTGGAAGTTGCAGTGAGCCGAGATTGCTCCACTGTACTCCAGATGGGTGACAGAGTGAAACTCCGTCTCAAGAAAACAAAACAAAACAACAACAAAAAACAAAAACTAGTGACCTTGGGCAATTTACTTAAATGCCCTGTGCTGATTTATTAATCTGTATAATGGGAATAATACAACAGTGGTATCTATTTGTAGGGTTGTTGTGAAGATTAACATTATATATGTATTTATTTATTAGGACAATAAAACAGTGGCTGGCACTAGATATGCCCTATGTAAGCATCAGCTATTATTATTACTGCATGCCTTAAAATGTTCAATGAAACATTTTTCTCAGAGCATCCATGTGCTCAGACTTTGAGAATGGTAGAAATTATGCTCAACTTTGAACAATTGTTTTGTATTGGGTTTCACGTCTGGTACATATACTTGAAGGTGTCTGTAAAGTGAGGTGAAAATCGCCTAATAGGTTTTTTTCTCTTTGGAATTTAGGATTTTAGTCGTTATGTAAAAAGCAAGATACATATATAGGAAGTTGTTGACTTCTGTAGGAGAAAGGCATAGTCTGATAGTGAAATATAGAAAGTAATAAGTAATTTTTGAGTTAGTTTTTAAAAGAGAATAAATTAAATTCAATTAAAACAACAAGATGTGTCTGTTATTGAAGATAGATCAAATATGCTACGAATGTTGTCAGGGTAGGAAGAATAGAAATGTTGTAGAATTTACTGGAAAAAAATTGAATTAAATTTGAATTAAATTTGGCTTACAAATTTAAAGGTAACTGATATGGTTTGGCTGTGTGTTCCTCACCCAAGGTGAGGGATAGGAGTGAATACTAATGGGTATGAGTTTTCTTTTTGGTGTGATAAAAATGTTCCAAAATTATATTATGGCAATGGTTGTACAATTCTATAAATATACTAAAACCCATTGAACTGTAAACTTGAAATAGGTAAATTTTATGGTATGTACATTATGTCTCAATAATACTGTTAAAAGTACATTAGTGAAAAAAGAACTAATATAATGCACTACACTAACAAAACAAAAAACATGAACAATCATCTCAATGATTTCTATAAAAGCATTTAGTAAAATAAAACGTTTATTTGTAAAGTATATCTTAAAAATCCTACATGAACTTACTAGTGAAATTTTTGAAATTTTTTCATTTTAAAATGACTGGTATAAAAATATGTCTGTTACAATCTACAGGTCCTTGTTAGTGAAATAAGACAATATAAAAATAAAATGTAAATATTGGAAAAGAAATAAAACTGTCACTATTTGTAGATTGTAGGATTATTTATGTAGAAAATTCATAAGATAAATTACTAGAATTTATAAATGCATATAGCAAAGTTGCTAGATATATTATATAATAATATAATAGAAAACAATAAAGTAAATCAGTTACCACATACCTTAGCATAAAAAAAAGTCAAATATTGGCCCCATGCGGTGGCTCACGCCTGTAATTCTAGCACTTTGGTAGGCTGAGGTTGGTGGACTACTTGACCTCAGTGGTTCGAGACCAGCATGAACAACATGGCGAAACCCTTTCTCTATAAAAAATACAAAAATTAGTTGGGGGTGATGGAATACTCCTGTAGTCCCAGCTACTCGGGAGGCTGAGGTGGAAGGATTACCTAAGCCTGGGAGGCAGAGGTTGCAGTGAGCCGAGATTGTACCATTGCACTCCAGCCTGGGTGGAAGGGTGAAACTCTCTCAAAAACAAAAACAAAACCAAAAAAACCATACAAATATTTTTGGAACAATTGTAAAAATGGGCAAGACCATTACATAGAAAATTCCAGAGCTCTACAAGCAAGAGTGCTGGGAGAAATTGAAGAAAAGAGAAGTAATCAGAGGGATAGATTATATTTATGTATCTTTAGTCTAGGTATGCATCTGTGCATACCCAGTGAAAAGTTAAGCCAGAGAGTGAAGGTATTTCTAAATATATGTAACTAACAAATAATGCATAACTAGAATTTTTAAAATCTACAAATCAATAAGAAAAAGGCAGACAACATAATAGAAAAATCGGCATGATATTTGAATAGGAAGTTCACAGAAGAAAATATCCAAATAATTACCACATGAATATATTAAAAGGAACCTAACCTCATTGGTAATAAGAGAAAGGCAAGTTAGGTACCACTACACACTCATCAAAATGACTAAATTTCAAAAGGCAACATTAGTTATGGTTTGCTGAGAATGTGCAGATTATAGGAGTCTTCCTACACTACTGATAGGAATATAAATTGGTGAAACCACTCTGGAAAAATACTTAGCACTATCTTTTAAAGCAGACATTTTGCATACAGTATAATTCATCATTTTTACTTCTAGGTATATCCAGCAGAAAATGTATATATTTGCCTCAAAAGACATGTAAATAGACATTCAGAACATCACTATTCATAATAGCCCCAAACAGGAAAAACATAAATGTCCATCTAGCAAAATAGATGAATAAATATGACAGTTATATAATGAAATGCCATACAGAAATGAAGAAACTACCATCATACCCAATGACAAGGCTGAATATCACAATTACAATGTGTGTGTGTGGGGAGGTCAGATACAAATAAATGTATATACTGTATATTTTCATTGATATTAAGTTTTACCAAATAGTCAAAACTAAGATACAGTGTTAGAAGGCAGGATAGTGGTTTCTCTGGAGGAGATGGGAAAGGGAAATGGCTGGGGCTGAGCCTGTATGGTTAGCAATTACTGTCTTTGTTGTCCTGATGACAGTTCCAGAGGACTTTGCTTTGTTGTAAGTCATTGAGCTGTACCCTTATAATTTTTGTACTTTTCATATGTGCATTATGTGTCATAATACAAAACAGTTTTAAAAGATGATTAAGCTATACTGGCCACAATCATGAATCTTTCAATGTGCATATGGTGAATTTCTATATATCTCACTGTATAAAGGTTTTTCAACTAAAATAGAGACCAAAAGTGCAGTAACCAAAATCACACAATGGAATTTCATCTGTGCATACCCAGGAATATTTTTAATTTCAATGTTGCCCACTGTTTCCACAAGTCTTCATGACAAGGTAGTCTACTTCTTTTCATCATCTAAGATTTAAACAGGCATTCTTAGAATGTCTGTTTCACACCAAGCCATTGAAGAGGCTGCTATTGAGAAAGGATCTGAATACAACTGCCAGGATTTTCAGCACAGAAGGGCACGATCAAGGCAGTTTTTTTCCTATGCTAGTAAGACTGGCACCATATCAGAATCTCTAGCCCTCTGAGTAAGTCCTTGAGAGCAAATGCAGTCAAGGTTGTCACCACCCTATCTGAAAACTACTGAACCTTAAAAAATGTATTGCATATTCATTAGTGATCACTGCTGCAGACGGGACCGTAAGGCAATCTTGCAGATGAATGTGTACCTTCTACAGATATTTTTTAGCAAAGTGCACTGTCCATGAAATTGTAAATAAAAACATCTTGGAAACAGCTGTATATTTTTTCTAGGCCCTCCTGGCTATTCTGTTTTCCTAAAGGTCTGAACATGATGCGTTCACGCTAATCATGTGTTTCTTGGAAAACATCCTTCTTACCTCTGCACATGTATTGCTGGCAGCACATTTCAGAGGTGTTTAGGTGTATGTAGGGGTATCAAGTTTTTTTTTCTTTAATTTTCTCTGAAATGTTTGGCCCCTCATAGCAAGAAAGAAGCTTTTGAATAGTGAAAGGTAGCTTATAATTTGGGGGACACTGCATGAGCTTACTTAAGATTTAAGATAAAGTTCTTTGTATTTCAGTGGCAATGATAATATATTAACCATCAAGTTATATGTTTTTTAACCCAGATGTGAAAGAGAGCTTTTGGACAGTGTGAAAAAAATCAGGATGGATTATCACAAAGAAGAGAATTGTTTCTTATTTGGAAGTCTTAGCAAGTAGAATTTAATCTCTTCTATTTGGGATAACACACATGGAACACAGACTAGAGAAAATGGTTGCTTCTAAGCACTTTAACTTATTTTTCCTTGGGATGATAATATGAAAACAGGTGACTTTAGACACATTTTGGGCAGTTTGTTCCTGGATTATAACATTTTACCTTTTGTCATTAGCACTGGATGAATTTGCGACTCTTGTTAGAGAACCATTTATAGCTCATACTTTAAACCAGTCCTTGCCAAATATTTCAGATCATAGGTTTTACTTTGGGTGCTTTTTAAAAACACATTTGTCTGGGTCTCTCGTGAATCTGAATCTCTTAAAAAAAAATCCTAGAAAACATTATTTATGTAACGAGCAACCCGGGAGATTCTTATGTCCAAGCACAAGGGGGAGACGCGATTTATACATGAAACTTTGGATTGGGATATTAAGGATATCAAAAGATTCTTCTTCTTCTCTGTATGAAATAGAGATAAGATAGAAAGACATGATTACATACAAAAGCAAAAGCAAACTTAAAAATTTTATTTTTTAAGTTATAAATCCACTTAATATTTAAAAATATGGGTAGTCTGTTACATAGCAAGAGCTAATTGTGACAAATGACTTTTTATAAGATTTTACAGTTTATAAATCAGATATATTTACCCAGTCAGTTCTCATAAAAACCCTGTGAAATATAGGTTACTGTGATCAATCTCAGTTTCTAAATAAGTCTTGGGAATTCATAGAAGTTAAGCCGCTTAATCCAGTATCTCTTGCAAAGTTGAATCTCATTTAATTTTAAAATAATTTATGTTGAAATGACTTTTCTACTTGTGATTCTGCCAGAAGCTAATGTTCTGAATGTCATAGACATCATTCCTACCGAACTCCTTTTCATGGAATGGCCTAGAGAAAACAATATCTTGAAATACAAACCTCCATTCTAAAGTGAAATAACCCCATCATGTTTTTTCCCTTTTAAAGCAGGAATTCTTTTTTTTTTTTTTTTTGGGCTGTCACTTTTATACTGGAATCTGGTGGTGATAATAATCTACTCAAAGTTCTCCAAGAAATTATTTGTTTTTGTCTTGAAGGCAGAGTAAACATTCTTTTCTCCCTGTTTATTTAAATTTTAAGGCCAAAGTGCACTTAAATTATCCAGAAGGCTAAAAATAGCAGCATAATAACCACAGAATAGTTTATCTTTCTATTAGCTGTTCTGCCAGTCAGCATTAAAGTTCATTCCCGGGGCAAAAGCAGGATTGCAATAGAGCAAACAGAAACAATGAAGTACTAAGCAGCCATTCTAATAAGACAAACTCCCTTTAAAAAGGAGTACATAATAAAAATTCACCAAGTATGTAGGGAAATTTATCACCATGAAGGAGAGATAACAAAGGCAATAAACAGAACTCAAACTCGAAGAAACAGAGTGGTTAGAAAAAGAAAAGAGTTTCTTATGAGGATGCATTTTAGCACAGAGAAATGCAAGCAAATATTGCTACCTAAAACTTAATCAACTAAATCATATGGATTAAAAATTGATCAATGCACATAACAGCAAAACAGATGAACTAAGGAGAGCAGAATGGCTCCTGAAACAGAAGAGTAAATTTACATAAGCAGATTCTTGATCAGCGTCATTTCATTCAGTATTTTATGTTGATGAAAAAAAAAGATTCCTGGCAGAGCCACTGTCTGGGTGGAGTTTGCATTTCCTCCATGTGTCTTCATGGTTTTTCTCCAGGTACTCTGGTTTCCTCCCACATCCCAAAGGTGTGCACATTAGGTAAATTGGTGTGTCTACATTGCTGCAGTGTGAGTGATTGTGAGTGTGTGTGTAAGTGTGCCCTGCAGTGGGATGGCATCCTGTCCACAGCTGGTTCCTGTCTTGTACCCTGAGCTCTTGGTATAGGTTTCAGCCACCTGTGATCCTGAACTGGAATAAGCAAGTTGGAAAATAAATGAATGAATGAGTGAATAAAAATTATCATGCTATAAAAATGTGTAAAGTCTATGACCATACAAATACATGACAAAAACAATGCAGTACCAAAGCTCTCAGTGAACCCATCATATTTGTTATCATTTTTTTTGAACTGCATAGTGTTAGGAGGTGCTCCTTGCAAGTTTTACTTTGAAAACGTTTATTCTTTGATTTGACCATCACAACTGTGACTGCTGTCACTGATTCACCAAAAACTGGGTAAATAATATCTTGTTTTTATTAATCTTTTAAAAATGCACATATAGCTCACATTTATTTCAATGTTTAATACTGTAATTGTTTTTGGTCTTTATTCAGAAGTTTGGTGATGTTTTGCAACTAGAAATATACCATAGGAACTTAATTCTTGTTTATGTCAGTTAACCTATGGTAAAATTGGTTTCATTATGCATTGTTTTGCTTAAAGTCAAAATTTTCAAAAACCTATTGACAATTTTAAGTGAGGGCTTATTGTTCTAAATAATCAAATATTTATAGAATGCAGGACAAAAGAAAAAGATGAAAAGTTTGAAAGATAAGACAAAATATAGACAATAATTCCCATGTTCCAAATTGCATATACTAGAAGACTCAGAAAAGAGTGGAAGAAAAGTGATACCTTATATTAAATAAAATATTAGACAACTATTTCTTAGAATTGAAAAAGTTATGTCTTCAGGTTAAATGCGTATACCTCTGCAAGCACTCAGCAAGATTTAGAGTGAGCTATCAGAGCACCACCTATCCAAATAAAATTTAGAACACCAAGGACAAAGACAAACCCTAAAATCTTCCAGAGAAAGAGAATTGTTTACTAGGAAATAATGGTAAGATTGAAATTGGATTTACATAAACATTCACTAGATTCACCAGATGCAAGAAGATAATAGAAACATACATTTGAAGGTAAGTAACTTTGAACTTGTAATTATCTGATCATTCAATTGTGAGAAAGGAATAGGGTGGTTTTGCACATGAATGATTCAGAAAATGTATCATCACTTATAGACAGAGGTTGATTTACTCTTAGGTGCCCTCCAGCAAGAAGACAAATATGAACCTAAGAAGAAGAAATAAGATACCTGAAGTAATGATAAGTAATTAAATTATTTAAAATTATTGTAAATTCTAAATAAGTATTAACTATAATTATTTTTTCTGAAATTGACTACTTATAATAAAAAATTTCCAGGTGGTATCAACATGGGATGGCGAATAAAAGCAAAAGCATATTCTAGTTCTTGACTTTTGGAGGGGATATAATATGTACAAAGTTTAATACTAGTCGTTGTTAAAAACAATATCATTATAAAGAAGTTGTTTAAAAATTAAAGTTTACTGTAATTGGAAGAAGAAAAATAAAACACTGAAATTATTAGTAAAAATGAAAGCAACAAAGAAAATTTGATTAATTCAGTGATTAATTCAATAAAGGATGAAAAAGGGGAATACATATATTTTAAAATCTGATAAAGGGAAAACAACATGTAAGCTCACAGGAAAAAAATCCATGTAAACATGAATGCAAAACTCTTAAATAAACATTTAAAATCGTATCAAACAGTCCATTGAAATTAAAATATGTCATATGAACATGTAATGTCTATCCCAAAAATGTAACAATGATTTAACAACAACAAAATCTGTCAATGCAATATACAATATCAACATCTTAAAGCATAAGTACAGCCTTTTAAATATAACTTAAATGGCATTCCGTAGCAAACAAGGACTTGAAAGGTTGTTATCATCATCTTGATAAAGATTCTTTACAAAGGTCTATAAAAATAAGTGTCATACTAAATAATATTTGAAGCTTTATTGAAAAGGGTGACAAGAAAGAAGGACCATTTTTACCAGAAGCCCAGCCCTGGCAATAGCAGTAACAGCAGCAATGACAATATAAGTGGATGATAGGGTTTGACTGTGTCCCCACCCAAATCTCATCTTGAATTGTAGCTGCCACAATTCCCATGTGTTGTGGGAGGGACCCCGTGGGAGATAATTGAGTCATGGGAATGGGTCTGTCCTAAGCTGTTCTTGTGATAGTGAATAAGTCTCAGGAGATCTGATGGGTTTATAAAGAGGAGTTAAGATGTGACTTGCTCCTCCTTGCCTTCCACCATGATTGTGAGGCCTCCCCAGCCACAAGGAATCGTGAGTCCACTAAACCTCTTTCCTGTATAAATTACCCAGTCTCAGGTATGTCTTTATTAGAAGTGTAAAAACAGACTAATACAATGGGTAATGTGGGGAAGGCGATTGTCTCATAGACAATCCAAGAGAATCAGCTGATAAGCTATCAGCACTCATAAGCTTATTTGCAAGGTTGCTAGATAAAATATCAACATATGAATGTAATTACTTTCCTGTATGCCTATATGTGAATTTTACAAATGAGGAAATATAATATTAAAAGTCTAAATAAAAATCATGCACAACAACAATAAAAGCAGCAAACTTTCAAGCGCCTAAGGAAAAGGCCAACAAATAATGCCCAAGAAATTTAGGTTTAACATTCTAAAATATGTCTAAAATGTTATTTGAGAAATTTTGGAAGAACTGCGTACATGGAGAAATGGAAAATTTTGTGGGTGGGAAAATTTATTATTTTAAATATTTCAATGATCAGAAAGCAAATCTATAATCATGATTTTTTTCCATCAAACTCAAGAAACTAACAGAAATTTATAAGTAAAAACCAATGTCAAAAATAGTTAAGACAATATTAAAAAGCATAGTGGTAGGAGCTTGCCATATTAACATCAAAGCATTAACAAACAATAGTTAAATCAGAATTTAACCATTATTAGTTAAAAAGATAATAGCTAATAGAAATATAATAAAGAGCCTAGAAACAACTCTTTTCCTCTTTCTGAATTTGACATGCTATAAAGTGGACATTTTAAATCATCAGGGAAAATGGGCTATTCAGTAACTAAGAGAATAAGTTGATAATATTCTATAAAAGTTTAAGATATGATTTTTATTCACACAACTCTGAATTAAAAATAGATTAAATATATTCATGTAAAAGTAAATCATAAAATTATTAGAAAACAATGTAAAAGAATATATATTTGATCTTTAACTGGAAGAACACTTTTGAAGTAAGTCACATAGCCAAAACTTAAAAGGAATGTTATAGGCCTGTTATAGAAATGCCTACAACACATTGTGAGAAGTGCAGATGGAATGAGAGATGTTGTTGCTACCATTTTGGAAAATGAAATCTACTACATACACTATTGAAAGAAAACTAAGATGCCATGCTTATATGCCTCCAAAATTCAAGGTGTAATGATATCTCAAGTCTTATATCTTAAGAATCTTTATTTGAGATGTAATTTTTTAAATTATACTTTAAGTTTTAGGTACATGTGCACAATGTGCAGGTTTGTTACATATACATACATGTGCCATGTTGGTGTGCTGCACCCATTACTCGTGTCATTTAACATTAGGTGTATCTCCTAATGCTATCCCCCCTCCCTCCCCCCACCCCACAACAGGCCCCGGTGTGTGATGTTCCCCTTCCTGTGTCCATGTGTTCTCATTGTTCAGTTCCCACCTATGAGTGAGATCATGCAGTGTTTGGTTTTTTGTCCTTGTGATAGTTTGCTGAGAATGATGGTTTCCAGCTTCATCCATGTCCCTACAAAGGACATGAACTCATCATTTTTTATGGCTGCATAGTATTCCATGGTGTATATGTGCCACATTTTCTTAATCCAGTCTATCATTTTTGGACATTTGGGTTGGTTCCAGGTCTTTGCTATTGTGAATAGTGCCACAATAAACATACGTGTGCATGTGTCTTCATAGCAGCATGATTTATAATCCTTTGGGTATATACCCAGTAATGGGATGGCTGGGTCAAATGGTATTTCTAGTTCTGGATCCCTGAGGAATCACCACACTGACTTCTACAATGGTTGAACTAGTTTACACTCCCACCAACAGTGTAAAAGTGTTCCTATTTCTCCACATCCTCTCCAGCACCTGTTGTTTCCTGACTTTTTAATGATCGCCATTCTAACTGCTGTGAGATGGTATCTCATTGTGGTTTTGATTTGCATTTCTCTGATGGCCAGTGATGATGAGCATTTTTTCATGTGTTTTTTGGCTGCATAATTGTCTTCTTTTGAGAAGTGTCTGTTCATATCCTTTGCCCACTTGTTGATGGGTTTGTTTTTTTCTTGTAAATTTGTTTGAGTTCATTGTAGATTCTGGATATTAGCCCTTTGTCAGATGAGTAGATTGCAAAAATTTTTTCCCATTCTGTAGGTTGCCTGTTCACTCTGATGGTAGTTTCTTTTGCTGTGCAGAAGCTGTTTAATTTAATTAGATCCCATTTGTCAATTTTGGCTTTTGTTGCCATTGCTTTTTGGTTAGATGTAATTTTTAAACAAATTTAATGCTGAAAAGTTTTAGGGCTTCTGTACCAAATATTTTAGCTTATAAACAAATGTTGTAGGGCAAAGAAAATTTAAATAATTTGTCTAAGTCATTGAGATATTTATACTCTCTTAACTTCAGTAGAGTTATCTTCCAATTATGTACCCTGTCTATTAAAATGCTTAGATTTCTATTATTTCCCATCTTTCATGTATCTGTGACCATAACCAAGTGATCAGTAGTATTTCCACTCTTTCTGAGAAGTTTTAGAAATGCAGGTGATGCCTTCCTTCCTTGTTGTAAACAAATTTTATATAGCCCTGTGTGAAAGTTACAGGAATCTTTAAATATTACAGTAAGCATGAGGCTAAGCAAGACCTCAGGTGTCGAGCTGACATATTCAGTTATAGTAACAAGGCCATGCAAGACAAAAACATAATTACTCCAAATTTGTTTTCAGACATTTATTGACCTTAAGAATGCAGGGTCTATTATACTCCCCTCATCCAAAACTAATCACTGACACTTCATAACTTCAATACTGACAAATTTTCATTCAGTTGCTATCAAAGGTTGAATAATTAAGGCACTTTCTTCTGGAATGTTTCATTTATTTTGGAGTGCAATATTGAAATCTAATTTTGAAGATGTTCACTTGTCGACATAATATTTTTAAAGTTCTCAGCAATTACTTCTGAGGGATAGTTAAGGATAGCGTGATAGCCTATTTAATCTTTCCCAGGACTCTTATCCACTGAGGAGTGAGGAGACTTCTTGAAATATGTTGATTTACCATAGCTTATCAACCAACTTTAATGGGTCTTTAAAAAGCTAAGTCTGCAGTTAAGGACTCAGCAAGAGGGTATTAGCTCCTACCAATTTTCACAGCTTTACGGGGAACAAAATGTTCCAAAAGTCATCTCAGGAGAGGAGCAGAGATAAAGTAAATAGTCCTTACATATATGAAAGATAGTTCTATATTTTTGCATCTAAACTGCATAAAATTATATCTGCAGGCATATAGTGTACAAGTAATGTCTTGACAAGCAGTTGTTTATTATAAATTTTTAACTTTTTATTCAGATGCCTTTGATTTCATTAAACATTAAAATAGGATTCACAGCTGAAGATGAGTAATCCAGTATGAGTCTTATGTATGTAAAATAAAGTTAGTGTTTTTACATTTCTATTAGCATATTTTAAGAGTTGCCTCAGGAAAGTGCTCGCTTGGCAGTGAGCTGAGCTCACTGTAACTTGATATTCAGATAATGTTGGGGGATATGTCAGAGTCCAGCGTGGAACTATTCAAAAGACCATGGGTACAGGGAGATATTTCTTCCTTAAAGTTTGAAGGCTTTCTAGCAGCTCAGGATCTTCCAATGTGATCCTTGTGGATGCCCCTAGACGTGCAGAGATATATGAACCCCATGGCTTCTCTCGTGGATAGTGCTTCTTATTATCAGTATTCATCATTTTCTTTCTGTTGTTGCCTTCTTCCACAACTACCTCAAGGGAACATCATTTATTCTCAGGTTGGTAGATTATCTTGTCTTCGATCCCTATACTCATCTAGTTGTATACCTGATTTTGTAGGCTGATTAATCCTAGATTTACATCTCTAGTCCCAATCTCTTCCCTGAGCTCCAGCTGCTTTTTAAATATTTGGCAATATCAACATCAACATCCACAATTCATCATGTCTAAATCTGAACTCTTGATCCTCCTTGCTCTTATTTCTCTCATCTCTGTCAGTCAATAGTATCACCATTCAGTTTCAAACCCAGGAATTATCTTTAAATCTTCTCTTCTCTTCACCCTCCACAATTAATATTCCAAAAAATCCTCTTGGCCTCACTGCAAAATATATGATGTAATTTATCAAGTAATCTATTCAACTAATATGTTAAAGGATCAAATAACATGCCCAGATTATAGCTAATAAGTTGTAGAACTTCTTTTGGATAACATCTACTGTAGCCTAGTTTATGTGCTCTCTTGCTCCATTTCTGTTGTGGTCTATTCCCCATGTTAACAACCAGTGTAACCTTTAAAATGTAAATCATGAAACTGCTACTTTTGTGAAGACGGAGTACATGTATTTTTTTTATTACTCTCAGTAAGTACAACAAAAAAACCCTGAATATTATACATAACAAATATAAAAAGTCTCTGAAAGGTGGAGAGAAAAAGTTAGATGGCTAGGGACTTCACGACCCAAGGAATGGCACACCATGAGTTCCTAGGTTGTGTTTTTGCCTGGAATATCCTAGATTTGAAGCTGAAAAAGCTGGCAACCTAGAAATGCCAACAGGAGCAGACAACAAAACAAAACACGACAAAACAGAACAGAACAAAACCAACAAATATCTTTTCTGTTTAGGCAAAAGACCAGGAAACGGGCAGCCTAGCAAGGCAGAAGACTTTTAGACAATAACCATTTTGCTTCAGGCACAAATCACAGAAAAATTTCCTACCCATTCCAACAAAGACCAAGAAGGAAACTAAACATCTTGGCCAGGCATTAATGAGCCCCCACCCCAACAAGGTGTTGACAGAAAAGCCAAGTAGGAACCAGGACTTTCATTCCTGCAGGGTGTCAGGGTGTCAGAGGAGACCATGCGGTGAGTCTGAACTTCCACCACTACCCAGCATTAATAAAGTGCTTCTCTTCTTCCCTTCTAGGGGTGGTATCAGAGGAGGTCTAGTAGAGTCAGGCCTCAAACCACCACCCACTGATAAGAGGGCCATCTCCTTGCAGAGTTAGTGGAAGCTAGGCTACAAGCAATAGCAGGCACTTCTACCTTTTCCAGCAAGGGAGTTATCAGTGGAGGCCTGTTGGAGTGATGGAACTCCAACCCCTGGTTGAAAGTAACCAGGAATCCCACCTCATGTACAAACAAAGGCTGGGTAGAGAACCTGGACATCTTCTTGTACTGGGCAGTAACAAGTCAGTGTCATTCCTTCCCCTACTTGAGTGGGTGTCAGAAAAGCCAACTAAAGCAGAAGGTTTAATTAAGATACAGAGTTTTATGATATAATACCCATAATGTTCAGGTTTCAATAAAAAGTCACACATTATACAAAAAATAAGGAAGATCTCAAACTGAATGAAAAAAGGCAATAATAGATGCCAACATCAAACAGAGATGTCATACTGAAAAATATTTTAAAGCAGCCATAATAAATATACTTCAGTGAACACTAACAGGCTCAAAAAAAGAAAAGCAAAAAGGAAAGTCTCAGCAAAGAAATAGAATATATAAAGAAGTACCAAATGAAAATTCTAGAACTTAAAAATACAATAACCAAAATTTTTAAAAACTCAATGAATTTGCTCCACAGCAGAATGGTGAGAGAGATAAAAGAATCAGTGAACTTGAAAATAGAACAATTGAAATTACCCAATCTAAAAAAAAGTTGAGAAAATAGACTAAAAAATGAACAAAGTCTTAGGGACCTGTGTTACTATTTCACTATTTATGTTATCAAGATTCCTAGAAAGAATACACTATTTATGTTATCAGAGTCCTAGAAAGAAGAAGAAAGTGTATGGAGCTTAAGAAGTACTCAAAGAAATAATGGCTGAAAAACTTCCCAAATTTGGCAAAATACACAAACCTATAGATTCAAGAAGCTGAACAAAACCCAGAGAAGTTAAATAAAAAAAAAATCTATACTGACATACATAGTGGTTAAAATTATAGATAAAGAAAAATTCCTTAAAGTAGAGAGAGAGAGAAAGGGAGAGAGAGGTGTGACACTACCTGAAGTAAAAAAACAATATGAGTGACAATGGATTAGTCATCAGAAATTATGAAGACCAGAAGAAAGTGGCACAATATTTTTGAATTGCTGAAATGAAAAGAACAGAACTGTCAGCCCAGAATCCTTTATCCAGTGAAATTATTTTTTAGAAATGAAAGGGGAAATCATGTAATATCAGATGAACCAAAGCTAAGAGAATTTGTCACCAGCTCAGAATTAGTCCTAAAAGAATAGCTAAAGAAAGTTCATTAAACACAAGAAACACAATAAAAGAAAGAATCTTAGTAAATGAGGAAAGAACAAATACATAGTAAGCAAAAACATGGGCAAGTACAATATATTTTCTTTATCTTCTTGAGTTTTCTAAATTATGTTTGATGGTTGAAGCAAAAACATAACACCACTTGATGTGGTTCTAAATGTAAATAGAGGAAATATTTAGATTGATTAGATTATAAATTGGGGACGGTAAAGGAACACAACAGGAAATAAGATTTTTAAATTTTGCTCAAACTGGCAAAATGTCAATGCAAGTAGAATGTGGTGTAATCTATAAATAATGAAAAATCTACAGGACCACTACAAGGTTATATACACAAAGTGACACACAAAAAAACACCATGGAAAAATAAAAATGAAGTTCTAAAAAGTTCAAATAATCCATAGAAAAAGCAGGGAAACAAAAACACATGAAGGAAAACAAAGAGAATAACCCTCCCCCCACATGAAAAATCTAAAATGGCAGATTTAGGCCCTAAAATGTAAGAATTATATTAAATAAAAATGATTGCAAATGTAAGAATTATATAAATAAAAATGATTTCAATTAAAAGATAGAGATTGGCAGAATGAGTTAAAAACTATAACCTAATTTTATGATATCATATTTATTTTATGTATAATGATGTAGGTAAATTAAATTTAAAAATGGGAAAGTATCATACAAGTATTAATCTAGAGAAAGCTGGATTGATCAAAGAAAATTACCAGAAACAGAGAAGAATGTTTTATAATGATATGTATTATAAAGAATCAAATATGTCACTCTATCAAGAATATATGATCCTAATGCTTATGCACTGAACAAGTTGCAAAATAAGTGATGCAGGAACGTACAGAACTGAATTAGGAAGAAAATTTTCAGTCTTTTGCCATTAAATATAATGGTAGTTATAATGTTTTGTCAATTCCTATCAAGTTGAGGAAATTTCTTCCATTCTATTTTGTGAGAGTTTTTATCATAATGGTGTGTTAAGTTTTTCCAAATGTGTTTCTGAATCAGGAAAAGCCATGGATGTCAGCTTTCACCACTCTTACTCAATATAGTGATGGAAGTTCTATGTAGTGTGCCATGGCAGGAAAAGGAAATTAAAATCGTATAGATGAGAAAGGGAGAAATAAAACTGTCCTTATTTACAGAAAACATGATTGTTTATGTAGAAAATCCCAATAAATCTACCCCAAAACTCCTGTAACTAATAAATGAGCTCAGCAAAGTTTCAGGATACAAGATAAGTATATAAAATTAATTGTGTTGCTATGTACTAGTAATGAACACATGGGCACCAAAATTCAAAATACAATACCATATAAAAACACTCAGAGATAAAAAAGAAATACTTAGGTGTAAATGTAATAAAACATGTATAGGACTTGCATGCTGAAAACTATAAAACACTGATGAAAGATCAAATGAGGTTGAATTCAATGGAGAGATATGCTATGTGGATTAGAACACTCAATATAGTACAGGTGTTAATTTTCCTCAAATTCATATATAGGTTTAATGCATTCCCAATAAAAATCCCAGTATGATTTTGTAGATATAGACAAGATTACTCTAAAATTCATAAGGAAAAGCATAGACCCTGAAGTATTGAAAACAATTTTGAAAAAGAATAAAGTGAGAGAAAACCCATCTAGTCAATTTCTTTATTTTATTTTATTTTATTATTATTATACTTTAAGTTTTAGGGTACATGTGCACAATGTGCAGGTTACATATGTATACATGTGCCATGCTGGTGTGCTGCACCCATTAACTCGTCATTTAGCATTAGGTATATCTCCTAAAGCTATCCCTCCCCCCTCCCCCCACCCCACAACAATCCCCAGAGTGTGATGTTCCCCTTCCTGTGTCCATGTGTTCTCATTGTTCAATTCCCACCAATGAGTGAGAATATGCGGTGTTTGGCTTTTTGTTCTTGCGATAGTTTACTGACAATGATGATTTCGAGTTTCATCCATGTCCCTACAAAAGACATGAACTCATCATTTTTTATGGCTGCATAGTATTCCATGGTGTATATGTGCCACATTTTCTTAATCCAGTCTATCATTGTTGGACATTTGGGTTGCTTCCAAGTCTTTGCTATTGTGAATAGTGCCCAATAAACATACGTGTGCATGTGTCTTTATAGCAGCATGATTTATAGTCCTTTGGGTATATACCCAGTGATGGGATGGCTGGGTCAAATGGTATTTCTAGTTCTAGATCCCTGAGGAATCACCACACTGACTTCCACAATGGTTGAACTAGTTTACACTCCCACCAACAGTGTAAAAGTGTTCCTATTTCTCCACATCCTCTCCAGCACCTGTTGTTTCCTGACTTTTTAATGATCGCCATTCTAACTGGTGTGAGATGGTATCTCATTGTGGTTTTGATTTGCATTTCTCTGATAGCCAGTGATGGTGAGCATTTTTTCATGTGTTTTTTGGCTGCATAAATGTCTTCTTTTGAGAAGTGTCTGTTCATGTCCTTCGCCCACTTTTTGATGGGGTTGTTTGTTTTTTTCTTGTAAATTTGTTTGAGTTCATTGTAGATTCTGGATATAAGCCCTTTGCCAGATGAGTAGGTTGTGAAAATTTTCTCCCATTTTGTAGGTTGCCTGTTCACTCTGATGGTAGTTTCTTTTGCTGTGCAGAAGCTCTTTAGTTTAATTAGATCCCATTTTTCAATTTTGGCTTTTGTTGCCATTGCTTTTGGTGTTTTAGACATGAAGTCCTTGCCCATGCCTATGTCCTGAATGGTAATGCCTAGGGTTTCTTCCAGGGTTTTTATGGGTTTAAGTCTAATGTTTAAGTCTTTAATCCATCTTGAATTGATTTTTGTATAAGGTGTAAGGAAGGGATCCAGTTTCAGCTTTCTACATATGGCTAGCCAGTTTTCCCAGCACCATTTATTAAATAGGGAATCCTTTCCCCATTGCTTGTTTTTCTCAGGTTTGTCAAAGATCAGATAGTTGTAGATATGTGGCGTTATTTCTGAGGGCTCTGTTCTGTTCCATTGATCTATATCTCTGTTTTGGTACCAATACCATGCTGTTTTGGTTACTGTAGCCTTGTAGTATAGTTTGAAGTCAGGTAGTGTGATGCCTCCAGCTTTGTTCTTTTGGCTGAGGATTGACTTGGCGGTGCAGGCTCTTTTTTGGTTCCATATGAAGTTTAAAGTAGTTTTTTCCAATTCTGTGAAGAAAGTCATTGGTAGCTTGATGGGGATGGCATTGAATCTATAAATTATCTTGGGCAGTGTGGCCGTTTTCACGATATTGATTCTTCGTACCCATGAGCATGGAATGTTCTTCCATTTGTTTGTATCATCTTTTATTTCACTGAGCAGTGGTTTGTAATTCTCCTTGAAGAGGTCCTTCACGTCCCTTGTAAGTTGGATTCCTAGGTATTTTATTCTCTTTGAAGCAATTGTGAATGGGAGTTCACTCATGATTTGGCTCTCTGTTTGTCTGTTATTGGTGTATAAGAATGCTTGTGATTTTTGTACATTGATTTTGTATCCTGAGACTTTGCTGAAGTTGCTTATCAGCTTAAGGAGATTTTGGGCTGAGACAATGGGGTTTTCTAGATAAACAATCATGTCATCTGCAAACAGGGACAATTTGACTTCCTCTTTTCCTAATTGAATACCCTTTATTTCCTTCTCCTGCCTAACTGCCCTGGCCAGAACTTCCAACACTATGTTGAATAGGAGTGGTGAGAGAGGGCATCCCTGTCTTGTGCCAGTTTTCAAAGGGAATGCTTCCAGTTTTTGCCCATTCAGTATGATATTGGCTGTGGGTTTGTCATAGATAGCTCTTATTATTTTGAGATATGTCCCATCAATACCTAATTTATTGAGAGTTTTTAGCATGAAGGGTTGTTGAATTTTGTCAAAGGCCTTTTCTGCATCTATTGAGATAATCATGTGGTTTTTGTCTTTGGTTCTGTTTATATGCTGGATTACATTTATTGATTTGCATATATTGAACCAGCCTTGCATCCCAGGGATGAAGCCCACTTGATCATTGTGGATAAGCTTTTTGATGTGCTGCTGGATTCGGCTTGCCAGTATTTTATTGAGGATTTTTGCATCAATGTTCATCAAGGATATTGGTCTAAAATTCTCTTTTTTGGTTGTGTCTCTGCCTGGCTTTGTTATCAGGATGATGCTGGCCTCATAAAATGAGTTAGGGAGGATTCCCTCTTTTTCTATTGATTGGAATAGTTTCAGAAGGAATGGTACCACTTCCTCCTTGTACCTCTGGTAGAATTCGGCTGTGAATTTCATGATGTATTATACAACTTGTTGTATAGCTATAGTAATCATGATTGCATAGGACTGGTGGAGAAATAGACACATTGCTCAGTGAAATACAATAGAGAACTCAGAAATGGGCCCACAAATGTATGCACAACTAATTTTTGACAAAAATGAAAACAAATTCAATAAAGGAAGCATAGCTTTTTCAACAAATGGTACTGGAGAGTTTGTATTTCCATAAACAAACAAACAAAAGAACTTTGATCTGTGTCTCATGTCTTATATAAAAATTAATCGGAAATGAATCACAGAATTAAATGTATGATATAAAACTATAACACTTTTAGAAAAGATATAGGAGAAAATCTTTAAGATCTAGGACAACAAAGAGTTCTTAGAATATTAAGTGCCATCTACAAAAATAATATTTGATAAATTAAACCTCATCAAAATTAAAAAGTTTTTCTCTGCAAAAACCTTATGGAGAAGACAAAAAGATAAGCTATAACAGGGAGAAAATAATTACAAAAAAATTCATAAAACACTGTTACATAAAATATATAAAGAATTCCCCAGAACTTAATGGTAAACAAAAATTCACTTAGATGATGAGCAAATGTTATGAATAAACATTTTGCTGAAGAAAATATAGATTTGCAAATAAGCAAATGGAAAAATTTTTATTATCATTACACATTAGGAAAATGCAAATTAAAATCACAATGAGAAACTTAGCACTACACACATATCAGAATGGCTAAAATAAAAACAAAACGGCAAAGACTGTAGGCAAGAAAATGGAGAAACTATATCACTCATACATTGCTGATGAGAATGTAAAATGGTACAGCAACTCTGGAATTCAGTATGGGAGTTTCTTTAAAAACTAAGCATGCAACTACCACGCAACCCAGGAATAGCACTCCTGGGCATTTATCCTAAAGAAATGAAAACAGGTACACACAAAAATCTGTACATGAATGTTTAGAGCAGTTTTATTTCTAATAGCCAAAACCAGATATCCTATAGTAAGTGAATGGTTAAACAGGTACTTGTTAACCATGCTAACTTATATGAATGGTTAGCAGGTACCGTGGAATAGTGCCTGGCAATCAAAAGAAGCAAACTATCAACCACCTCTGTGAATCTCCAGAGAACTTTGTTAAATGAAAAACGCCAATCCCAAAAGTTTACATCCTATGTATTCCATTTCTATAACATTCTGGAAATGATAAAATTATAAAAATGGAGGACAGATGAATGGTGCTGGGTAATCCCAAGGTTACATTGTATGATTCCATTTCTGTAACATTCTGGAAATGATAAAATTATAGAAATGGAGAAGAGATTAATGTTGCTGGGCTATAAGGACAGCGTGGGGATGGTTGTATAGAGACAGCATGAGGGACCCTTGTTGTGATGGAAGTATTCTGTATCTTGACAATATCAGTGTCCATATCCTGACTGTGATACTGTGCTACAGTTTCACAATACGTTACTAATGGAGGAAATTGGGTAAATGGTACATGGGCTCTCTCTATATTATTTCTTACAACTACATGTAAATCCACAATTATGTCAAATAAAAAGTCTAATTTAAGAGCAGCAAAATGTAAATCAGATTCCTCCCCTGCTAAGAGTCCTCCAATTGGTTTCTCATAATTCTTCAGATAAAATCCAGACAAAGTCCCAAAAGATGTAGCTCCTGCTTACCTCTCTATGTTCTCCCCTTTGCTCTTCCTCTAATATACCAAGCTGGCCTTAGGCCCATTGTACTTGCTGTTCATTCCCACTGCCTAACATTTTCTATATTCCACATGATCAACTTCCTCACTTAGTTCAGTCTTCTACTCAAATGTCAATTCCTCAGACATACTTCACCTATCACCCTATTTAAAGAACTTTTCCCCATCCTCACCAGAGTTCTTTTTGTCTCTTTCTCTCCTCCTCCACTTTCTACTCTTTCTCCTCCTTCTCCTCCTGCTCCTTTCCTCTCTCACTTTCTCTTTTTCTCTCTATCTTTCTCTTCTACATACTGTCTATAATTGATCAAAGTTAGTTAAGTTATAAAATAATTTTATTTCCAACCAAGTAAATACTTGCTTCCAACCAAGTAAATAAAATATTATAAAAAATGCTAAGGTCCTTTTTGACCATAAAATTAAATCTGTCTTTTCCCTACCTCTTTGTTAGATGTCTTTATTATCAGATGTTTTTCTATGGATTTGTATACATATGTGATCTCCGTATAGATTATATAGTGCTCTATTTCTTCCTTTATTGTTTCTGTGTAGATGCTCCCAAATGCTATAAGCAAATCTATCCATGAGAGTATCTACATATATAATTAGTATTTTATACATTAAGTGTCTCACATTTTATTTAGCAATTTTATTTATTGTATTGAAGAACTGCCATGTTCTCCAATATTTTTTTTTTGCTGTTGTTTTTGTTTAAAACAATAATGAACTAAACATCTTTGTATATGTCTTTTTGGCTATATTTGTGATCACTGTTTTATCATTTATTTTAATTTCCCATGTAGTGCAATGACTGGTAATGTGAACTTTAATTTTCAGATGCATAAATTTTTCTATTTTTATTGATGATTACTAATTTTTAAAATAGAGTCAATGAATAAGTACTGTAAAATACTAATTTTTGAAATGAAATTGTCTTTACAGTGTGGCACAACAATTTTTTTTGTAAATGTACTAAAAAAGAATATGCTGTCTTTTGTGCAACATTGTGTGTGTGTGTGTGTGTGTGTGTATGCATGCAGGTTTGTTTGCATGTGTTAAATCAAACTTCTTAAATGTGGTATTCAAATCCTCTATACTAATTTTATTTTCTATTTTATCTTGTAACTTCAATCAGAGATGTGTTATATCCCCCTGCTGTGAAATTTGGACTTATCTATTTCTCTAGGGGAATATCAGTTTTCCTTTAAAGTTTTGAACTTATGCTGTTAGATGTGTAAAACTTATGATATTTATATTTTCTTATTGGACTGTTGATTTGTAAATATGTCAACTCACTTAAAGCTGTTTGCTTTGAATTCTTTTTTGTGCCACTGCCAACCCAGCTTTTTTTCGTTAGCATTTGCCTTTAATTTCAACTTTCTTGTGTCATTTTTATAAATGTGTGGACCTTAAAATAGAACGTGGTTGATTTGTTTTAACAAATCTTAAAATGTTTTCTAAAAGATGAGCTAAGCACATTAATATTTACTGTGTCCACTGAAATCTTGAAATCTTGCTTCGTGTGTTTTTTATTCACCATGTTATCTCATTGTTTCTTTTGTCTTCCTTCCTTGGTTTTGTTAGATGCATCATTTACCTTTTTCTATGTTTGTGTTTTCTAAATTGAAAATGATACTTGTATTTCTATTCTTGTTTCCTTTTTCACTTTAACATAAATGTTCAAACTTACACTTTTTAAAGCAAAGATTAAAATTACTAAGCCATCTGTCTAAAGACATAGGCCTGGCGTGGTGGCTCACGCCTGTAATCCCAGCACTTTGGGAGGCTGAGGCAGGTGTATCACCTGAGGTTGGGAGTTTGAGACCAGCCTGACCAACATGGAGAAACACCATCTCTACTAAAAATATAAAATTAGCCAGGCGCAGTGGCGCATGCCTGTAATCCCAGCTACTCGGGAGGCTGAGGCAGTAGAATCGCTTGAACTCAGGAAGCAGAGGTTGAGGTGAGCAGAGATCACGCCATTGCACTCCAGCCTGGGCAACAAGAGTGAAACTCCATCTCGAAAAAAAAAAAAGAAAGAAAAGACATAAACTGTGTTTATATCATCTAATTTCCACTTCTGTGCCCCCTCCTACCTTGGGCAACTCTCATCTTCCCCTACATAATGTGCAAGCATATAAACATAGAATTAATTCATGGGCAGAATTTGTATATTGATAATATCCTTAAATTAGTTTTCTATTGTACGTGTACTTTAATAATCAATACCTATTAAAACTTTCCAATAATATTGAGTAAATAACTTAGCATTACTTTCTGCATTTTATTACTTCCTCCTGGCTTCATTTCACTACTTGCTGAGGCACCTTCTCCAGTAACTCTTTTGTATACATCTCTCCAGGGCAAATACTGTGAGTCCTCATAGATCTAAAATGTCCTTATGTTAGTTTCACTCTTGAATAACAGTTTGTCTTTTTATAGAATTTGGCGTATGAAGTGACTTGGAGATTGGTCTTTGGGCCCAAGCATGGCTCTTAAGTTTCAGAGATCACCAGCCAGTGGGTTCTGCCTGCTCTCTAATGTACGCTCTCACACAGATTTTTTCCACCTAAGGCAGATGCGTGTGTCTAAGGTGTGCGTGTGTGTGTGTGTGTGTGTGTGTGTGTGTATGTGTATAGGCAATGGATGCATGAGGTTCTATCTTTCCTGGCTGACTGAACATTGAATACACAGGAAGTGTTCAGTGCTGCTGCAGAGGAAGAGTGGGAGGTGCAGAACTGTTCAACCATCAGCCTAATGATATCTCACACTTTACTTTCCCATCTGCTTTCCATTAGAGGATAATGATGTTGACTGTGCACGTGTAAGATGCCTTTGATATTTTGCAATAGTGGACTCGTCATTGAACTGCATACTCCCTCATCTGATCACGTTTAACACAATAATTTCAACATGGACACTTGAAAACAGGGTGTCATCAGTGGCTATATATTACCACGCCCTAGTGGGGCTTGAACCTCTTTAGATAAGGATGTAATGCCCTAAACTAATTCATTCTCTTTGTATCTTATACTTCCTTAGAATTTTTTCCTTCAGACTGTGAATTCATTGTTATTTGATGCCACTTTGCACCATGCTCATCTTCTTACTGAGCTCCACTGCCTTCCTTTGGCTTAAGTTTGCAGGAGTGGTGGAAGAAGAAGACTATAAAAAGATATTGGTGGAAATTATCAGGGGAAGTATGGGGAATATAATCATTACTAATGTAAGGTGATTGGAAACAAATTTTTATTTGATGGTTTGTTCATTCATTGAGTTAGTATTTATTGAAGATTTCTTATCGTCATACCCAGTTCTATGTGCTGGGGATAAATTAGTGGACAGACAGTAAAGAAGAATGCAGCCTCAGAGTTTGTACTCTACTGACAGAGATCCTAGTTTGAGTCCGACACTTGTATTTACAATATTCCATCAAATCACATAGTTGCATCTGAATTCAGATTTATTTAGGGTATATTTATTTTTCATTGACCTTTTGCACTCATTTTCCTTTTGATCTTCTATTGCCATGTAGTGTGGGGAAATGCTATGAGTTTTTGAAAAATAAATGCTTCATTAAAAATAATGGACTCATTTTCACATTGCAGCCAAAATTATCTATTAAAAACATAAGTTTGATTGTATATTATTCAATATATTTTAATGATTTGTCATTGTTTTTAGGACAGAAGTAAAACATTTGATATGGCCTCTCGGCCTAGCATGTCTTCCTGCTTCTCCCTCTACCTTATATCATGCTATTACCCCCTCACTCTTGGTTCTGCTCATTTTGCTGTTCTCTCAGTTCTCAAACTTGCAATACTTCAATCCAATCTGGGCCCTGTTAGCTCAGCCGCCATAGTCCTCTTTCTCCTCATTGCAGCTTCAAGCCCTCTGCCCTAATATCTTGCTCATCCTTCAAAATCAGCTTATGTATCTATTCTCTAGGAATCATTATCTGAGGCCCTACTTAATCAAATCTATTAATAGTTCTCATCATAGCCTATTCTGCTTCATATTGCTTATCACGTTTGAAATGAATAATTAGTCATTTATCGTTTGTCTCTGTAGGCCATAATTTCCATGAGGACAGGAACTATTCTTTTTCATGATCATTATTTTGTTCTCAGAAGTTAGTATAGGTTGGCCTGGGGCAGTGGCTCATGCCTGTAATCTCAGCACTCTGGGAGGTCAAGGTGGGTGGATTACTTGAGCTCAGGAGTTTGAGACCAGCCTGGTCAAATGGAGAAACCCTGTCTCTACAAAAAATATAAAAATTAGCCGGGATGATGGCTTACATCTGTAATCTCTGCTACTTGGGAGGCTGAGGTGGGAGGATTACTTGAACCCAGGAGGTTGAGCCTGCATTGAGCCATGATGAGCCACTGCACTCCAGCCTGGGTGACAGATTGAGACCCTGTATCAGGGGGAAAAAAAAAAAGAACTTAGCTTATATCACAATATATTATAATCATTAAAGATACTCAGAAAATATTTTTTGACAAAGTAATTAATCCAATTTTTCAGCAAACCTGGTATATGCAAAACACTATTTCTGTGTACTGAAGTAGCATATTAAAGCTCCCATAGTCCAAAATGGACTCAGTCATATTTTCTCTTGAATGGAAAAATAAGAGAAGTCTAACTTCAGAAAAATGATGAAATGCACATTAAAGTATGCTCTTGTGTGAAAGATGAAATGAGATTCTGAGGAGGAGAAGTTCTTTGGTATTTCTTGAGTTTTCTGATATTGACTTGCCCAAACTGAACTACCGTGTAAACCAAGGGCCCCTTGATAAAATGATCTCTCAGCCTTTGTTCCTTTCATTTTGTTTTACTTTCAAAAAGCCCTCTGGATATTCTGTCGAAACTACAAAGTGGAAATTGGTTAGCTTCATTTAACACCATATCGTGCAGCAAAGGCCTCACATCAAGGCCCTTGTCATTTTACATTCTTCTTATTTCAATAGTTTTCCCAACTTCAAAATCTTAGAGTTGTAGATAGCCAAAGACTTCCATCCTAAATCCTTCAAGACCTAATTCTTTGATTATATTAAAATCCCAGTGTTCTAGCAGCCATAGGAATATAAACTTTTCTCTGATTCTTCATCCCAGGACTCTGATGAAATCACACTGATGAAATCAGGAGGGCCTTTGGCAACACATACTGACTCTCTGGGTCTTTAGCAGTGGTGGCATTTCTTTGCCTTGGCTGGCACTATCTTATGTGCTAGTTGTAATTTGAAATTTAAATGGCAATAAAAGTTTTCAGATTTTCATTGAAATTTCAAAAGAATAAGACAGGAAACCATAAAGTAATTTCCTCATAGGAAACAATGTTATAAAAGAACAAATCATTATTGCTTTGATCTATTTTGTTTATGAATATGGAAGCCTGTGGGTGGAGTTTGCAGTTTTCATATCTAGTTAAAGAAGCTATAAACTTTACAGGTGGGATTTGTCATAGATTGTGGAACAAAATATGCACATTTTAATATATGCCACAGGTATTACACCAAGAAGCTTTTCCTCTTGTTTTACTGATAAAATCTCCTTCTTTGATGTTTGATAGATTTTCTACCAGAAACATGTTTGTTTTGTTGAATTGTTAGTCCAGAAATACAGCATTAGGTATTTTGATGACCAAAATAATAGTATTTCCTATCAACAACTCTAAATATTTTTCTTTTTAATTTATAAAATAATATTTTATGTTGCCTTTATTTATATTTTTATAGGGAATGTATTACCTGCTAGATATTTAGCATAATATTTTGTAAAACTTATGGTCTGTGTATCCTAGTTAAATTGAGGTTTGAAGTAATTTGTGTATGATCAGCTAGGTCAGAAACCTTTTCATTTTAATGCTGACGTGGGATGGTCATGTCAAGAATTACTTAATGACCTCACAGAACTGGAAAAAGGGGTCAGTAATTATATTTACATTGTAAGATCTATATACTTCTTTATTTATTAAATTGACGTCTAACTCAAGTCAGGAGATTATTTATGTCCTGTTATAGCTTGCAGACAGTATATCTTGCTATCAGTGTGTCTTCAGCTGAATTAGCATTTCAGTGTTGTCTATTTTTAGTTTTGTGATAACGGCATTTGGAGCTTTGTGTAATTTAATTGTCAAAACTCGACCATTTCTTTAATTTGTTACTGGGCAGTTCATCAGGCAGTTTTGTAAAGTATTATTATGAAAAGAGTTCTAGCCCTGCAGAAACTCTCCTGAAGCCAAATTTCATTTAGGAATAGAACTGTTATACATTTAACCATGTAATGGAAAACATCCTTGCATGGGGAGTTTCTTGTGTAGTAATAACAGAACTAAAAGAAGTGAAAATTAAATAATTACCTTTTACCAAGTAACTGCCATGGACCAAGCCCTGTGATAGGGGTGGAAGTGGTGTGATTTTTCTTTCTTTCTTTCTTTCTTTTTTTTTTTTTAAGACAGGAGTCTCACTCTCACTCTGTCGCCCAGGCTGGAGTGCAGTGGCGCAATCTGCAACCTCTGCCTCCTGGGTTCAAGCTATTCTCCTGCCTCAGCCTCCCAAGTAGCTGGGACTACAGGCGCCCGTCACCATGCCCAGCTAATTTTTGTATTTTTAGTAGAGACAGGGTTTCACCATGTTGGCCAGGATGGTCTTGATCTCTTGACCTCATGATCCACCTGCCTCCGCCTCCCAAAGTGCTGGGATTACAGGCGTGAGCCACTGCGCCTGGCCGGAAGTGGTATGATCTCTAATCCTCACAACAACCGTAAAACAGCTGTGATATTAAAACAGTCTCAATTTTACATATGAAACGTAGAAATAGGCACAGATTTCTTTTTGTTCTTTTTTTTCATGTACTCTTTTATTATTATTATTATTATTATTATTATTATTATTATTATTATTATACTTTAAGTTCTAGGGTACATGTGCACAACGTGCAGGTTTGTTACATAGGTATACATGTGCCATGTTGGTGTGCTGCACCCATTAACTCGTCATTTACATTAGGTATTTCTCCTAATGCTATCCCTCCCCCAGCCTCCGACCCCACGACAGGCCCCAGTGTGTGATGTTCCCCACCCTGTGTCCAAGTGTTCTGATTGTTCAGTTCCCACCTATGAGTGAGAACATACGGTGTTTGGTTTCCTGTGCTTGCGATAGTTTGCTCAGAATGATGGTTTCCAGCGGCACAGATTTCTTAAGTAAGTTAGCTATAGTCACCTAGCTAGAAGATGGAAAAGCCTAGCATTGAAGCTGATGGGTCTGACATACATCTTTCATCTCTTTGTGCCTTAAATTTTATGGCATTTATTTTTGCTACGGTAGTTTGTTTCTCCACTCATCAACTGTTGTTTTGGTTTATTTTATTATGTAGCCCAAATGTGGACCCTTTCTTAGATGTCAAGTTAAAAAATTTTGCTCCTTGGAAATAATATTAAGAACTTTGTTAAGTTATAATCAAAAGTATTTTTTATCATCTTTCATATTAAAAGGCAATCACATCCTTTATTATAAACTTTTAAAAGTCTGTTTCCAGATCAGCAAATGTGAATTTCAGACAAATGTGCTGTGGAAGGCGTACTAATAGCCCCCTAAAGATGTTTATATCTAATCCCTGGTACCAGTGAATATGCTAGGTTACTTGGGAAAAGAGACTTTACAGCTGTTGTTAAATTGATGACCTTTAGATGGGAAGATTATCTATGGGTGGGCCTAATGTAAACACAAGAATCCTTACAAGAAGAAAATACCAGCACAAGAGGAGGTCACAGTCAGAGAGGGATTCAATGATGCTACTCTGATGCCTTTGAAAATGTGGGAAGGACCCGGGAGCCAAGGAATGTAGGCAGCCTCTAGAAACGAAAAAGTAAAAAGAAACTGATTCTCCTCCAGAGCCCCCAAAAGGAATGCAGCCCTGTCAACACCTTGATTTTATACCTAGTAAGCCCTGTTTCAAACTTCTGACTTCCAGAAAGGGAAGATAATACATTTGTATTGTTTTGGGTAATATGTTGTAGTAATATATGAAACTAATACAAATGCAATTGATTTAATTTTAATTCTAGATGTGGAATCAGGCTTCAATTTAAGCCTTTTCTGCTCAGTGGGAGCCCAGAAATTCTATGCAGAAGATTCTTAAGGCCAGCAAGGTGACTGAAATGGGGTGGTGCTGGGAGAGTATACTGAGTTGCCTTCATATAGCAAATCACTTTTCTTTTTTAAATTAAAATGAAGCCACTGTTTCTCCCCCCTATTTATTTATTTATTTACTTACTTACTTATTTTTGCTTTGATTTTATCTTACTAGCTTCTTGATTTGGGGGACAGTAAAATCGTACCTAAGTTTCTTCCTGACTAAAGGGTGTTATGAGTATATAATTTGGTAATGTATGAACTCCTGGTAGAGTAGTTAGTATACAGTAGGCTGCCCAAAATTGATAGTGATTCTACAAAGTATGTCATATTCTTTAAAGATTCTAAAAGTATGTCATACATGACTCCAGGATTGTTGTGGGTATATTGAGAGGTAGTCAGTCACAAAACACGATGTGAACTCTGAAGTACTATGCACGTTTTAGTTTCCTTATTACATTATCAATAAACTGGATGCAAAATATCGAAACACACATCCATGCAGCAAATGACACTTATTTTAGTGATCAAATGGTCACTGTTAATGATTCACTTCTTCCTCACCAATCTTGTCCCTGAACATCTAGGCCTAGGAAGTTTTCCTTTGACCATCTTGCTGGGCTCTTCTGCTGGAGTCCTAGGCCCTGCTTCCTTGTGATCTGGGAAAGCAGTCCAGAGACTGTTTTATCAGGTGCAATCCTAGCTGATTGATTCCCAAGTCTCTGAAGTTAAAAAATAAATAAAAAATGCTTCCTCTAACTCAGTCTCAATTGTGACTCGTTTTTATGCTGCTCAGTAGAAAGGACATCAACTACCATTCTATTTACTACCTCCACGAGATCAATTGTTTTTTAGCTCCCACATATGAGTGAGAACATGTGATATTGTCTTTCCGTGCCTGACAGATCACCTAACATAATGTCCTCCAGTTCTATCCATGTTGCTGCAAATGACAGGATTACCTCCTTTTTTATGGCTAAATAATATTTTGTTGTGTATGCGTACCACATTTTCTCTATCCATTCATCCATTGATGGACATTTTGGGATTGGTTAATGAGTACAAAAATACAATTAGATAGGAAGAATAAGATCTAGTCTTTGGTAGCACAATTGGGCAATTATAGTTAATTAATTTATTGTATATTTTGAAATATCTAGAAGCAAAGATGAGATGGGGCAAGGACCCCTCATAGGGGCCTGCTGCTGCCCCTACTGAAGTATAAGAATAAAGGAAAATATTGAGTGTCTTCAAGGGAAATTTCAGGCACCTAGATAGCCTTGAGAAGTAAATGATCAACCTGATAAGAAGGTAATAGTAGCTGTTGTTTTGTTTTAAGAAACAATAGCCACAGAAATTAGAGTCACTAAATATTTGATTCCCTATGGAAACTAAAGATAACATCTTAATATATGTCTCTGAGTTGTCTCTCAGAAACCCAGACCCCACCAGATGGATCCACTGTCATGTAGACCTCAGATAAGAGGGAAGTAAGGACTAGAGTCTCGACCACTGTTCTTCGTTTTAAATTTCTTCCTTAGGGGCCTAGAGGAAGTCATACCCACAGGCCAGACCTAACATTTCTTTCTGCTGACCCAAAATTTTTAAACAAAGCTTTTCTCCCTTAATCAATTGCAAATCAGAAAGTCTTTGAATCTACCTGTGACCCGAAAACCCCCACTTCAAGATATCCTGCCTTTTTAGGACAATCCAATGTATAGCCTCCAGGTATTGATTTATGACTTTGCCTGTAACCTCTGCCTCCCTGCCTTTAGAAGTCCTTACATGTAAGCCATCAGGGAGGTCAAGTCTTAAGCATGACCTGTCTGATTCTCCTTGCTTGACACCCTGAAAATAAATACTTTCCTTTTTCCTACTGCAAAACTTTGGTGTTGGATGTTTGGCTTTACTGCACCAGGCAAGTGGATGTCAGTTCATTTCGGTAACAAAGATTTGGAATGTTCCCAACATAAAGAAATGGTAGGTTTTTGAGGTGATGGATAACCCAATTAGCCAGATTTGATCATTATCCATTGTATACTTGTATCAAAATATCACATGCACCCCATTATATGTACAACTATTATGTATACATAAAACTTATAAATAAATAATGAAGAGAAAGAACATTAACTGTGGAATCTGATAGATCAAAACTGCATTTGAGTTTTCTCACGCTAGCTGCATAGCCTTGTGTAAATTGTCTTAACCTTTCTGAACCTTAGTTTTCTAATCCATGAAATGTGAATCATAACGCCTACCTGCAGTTTTTCTGTGATGTTTAATTGAGATAACATATGTAATGCATCTAGCATGGGGGCTTGACCTTAGCAGGCATCCAAATATGGCCTATATTTTGCAAAAGCGTTCAGGGATTTGAAGCACTAGAAACAACGTTGAATTAGTTTTCAACATTGAAAACTGTTTCTCTAGAGCCTTAGTTTGACTAATTCTATGTAAGTTCAAAGGGTAAAATTGGGAACCTAGAATTAACAATGTATGTTTTCAATCTTAAAAGAGGCAATTTTTTCTTTCTTTTTTTTTGTTTGTTTGTTTTTTGTGGTATTATGGAGATATAGTGGTCAGAGTTCAAAGGACTGGTCTAAATTTCCAGAAAGGCCAAGATTCCCTTGTCAAGCACAGTTGCATTTTTAATGAGTATTTCAATTTGCCTTGCCACGTAACCATTTTCTCTACTGTGAGATTAACTTCAATTAAAGTCTTTTGTGGCTATGTTCTTTCTTAGATTTTTCCGTCTAATTGGTCTCCATGCATTTCTTCTGCATTAGCACTAATTTACTTGTGCCTATGATTGCAGTCAGAACAAAGCTGAACTTTTGAATTTTAGCTATGAGTCTTTTCATCCTAGATATTTTAGAAATTTAATTTATTATTAAGCCAGAGAAAGCAAAACCCTGTAAAAATTTATATGATGGTTATAACTGACTTGGTTCCTTTCCTAGAGCTGAAAGGTTTAGAGAAACTCAACATCTGAAATATTGATTATACAGGATTCATCATTTTCTCTCTCTCATAGGAAATGAAAGCTTCTGGGCAAGAGAAAATGCACTGCAGTGTTGTACAAGTCTCTAATATTGATTGTGGTTAAGGGTTGTAAAGTATTGACTACATGGATTTAAAGTCTTATGGACAATGAATACTCACACTTCTGTCTTGAAGTGAAAGAGAGAAGAAATAGAAAGTGGGTCACTGAAGACTGCTGAAAGTGCCAATTAGTGACCCTAGTCATTACTTCCCGTAAAGAAAAGTAGGAAAACCTAAAGAGCCCTGTAGATTGGATTCACAGGGCTTTGGGGTACCATCAAACAAGGTGCAATTGCTGCTTTACTTCATAAAGATAATAAGCATTCAGGAACCATGAAGAGGGGAAAATAAACTATGAAAAAAGATTATATAGACATCAAGGAGATGTTACCAAGGAGACCAGAGTGCAAAGCAATAAGACAGGGTGTTTACTGGGGTCTTAGGAATTGCAATTCAGGAGACCAGATGCAACTAGAAGGCAAGTTGTGTCCCAAAGAAAGGAAGGAGAATGGGAACTTTTAACAGAATGCTAAAAGTGATCACATAAGTTATTTTGAAAGAATTATCAAAATAATACCTGACTCCATAGTTCATTGGTTGTCACTGCTCAGGAGTTGCAGCAGTGGCAAAAGTCAGCCGTTTTCCAGGATGTTGTGGTCATGGCAGTTTGGCCCACTTCAAAGGTTTAAGACAAGCTCCTGCTGAGACAACCAAGTAAAAAGGGGTCCCCAGAGAATCGCCAACTAGCCTGCACACTGTAAGGATGGGGTAGAGCCTCAGGAAATTCCTGACGTTTGCAGTGGGGAGGAGCCCGGCCTCTCCTGTTCCTGGATAGTAACTTGGGATTTAATCCATTGAGGTGGAGAGCCTGTTAGCAGGACTCCATCTCACTTTGCTGAGTTGTATTTCCTTCTTCCTTTTCACTTGATAAATTCCACTCCTCACCCTTGTATGTGTCTGTGAGCCTAATCTTTCCTGGTCATGTGACAAGAACTGGTTTCTTCCTACAACACTGCTTTACAAGGTTGCAGATCATGCAGGTGGTCTCCCTGGAATGGTTTCTTGACCCCATTTTAGAACTCTAAACCAGAATGACAACATTTTTTACATTACATTTCACAGAGAACAGAGTGTTCTCAAGTATGGAGGAAGAAAAAGTGGAGTCTTTATGAAGAGATGGACCTTTCAGCTTCTGAAATCCATAGTTGGCCCTCCAGGTGTGCAAGGCATTATAAGTAATATATGGACATGTGTTTATAACATTGGAATGAGGTTGGGTAACATCTGAAAAGACATTCTTAATTTGTTGGCATAAATAAAACAAGCACCATGTTGGTTTTCATTTATACCTCCTCAATTAGGAGGTAATAGTTTATACTATACTTTTTAATAGTTAGGTAATGTGTAGGCTTTTCAACCTGTTGACCTGTAATATCCCTGTATTATAACTTGTATATGTTTACAATGTCACTGTAATATCATTTGTAGTATAATGTGAGGTCCTATTTAAATAAAGTAAGATATAGAGAAAAGGAACAAGATGGGATTTTGAAATTGATGAGAACCTCATTCGGTATGCTTGTTCCACAGTTGGAGAACTCTGTACACTGACGTAGTTAAGTGACTTGCCAAAGAGGAGGTAAGGTGAGTGGCAGAGCTGCCATTAGATCTCAGGCTTTAAAATCTACAATCCAATGCCCTTAGACTACACTTACTGGAAATACTTCAGTGTAAGCATAGAAATCTTTGTGATATCTTTAAAAACATGCATTAATTGAGCAGATCATTATGTTTCAGACACTGTTCCCTGTGAGCATAATAGACAAAGATCCCTGCCCTCCTAAAGCTTAGATCCTAGTGGAAAGAGATAGACAATGAACACAGAAGCGTGTAAATATGTTACATGTCAGATTGTGATGAGTGTTATGAAGGGTGATAAAGTTGTAAAGGGAAGAAGGGAGATTTTGAGCAAAATATGAGCAAGTTGAGGCCTTTAGGGGATATATATTTCAGAGAGAAAAACAAAAGTTTCTAAAGAAAAAAACCTACTTGGTAAATTTGAGCAATTGCAGGGAGAACAGTGTGACTGGACCAGAGTGAATATGAAGAAGAATGACAAGAGATGGAGACAGAGATAACACAGAGCTAGATTATATGGAACTTTATAGGCAATTTTAAGGAAATTTGGGGCTTTGTTTGATGTGATGCTTTGTTTTGTGTGTCAATTTGAGCAGGCTATAGTACCTAATTATTTAATGAAACACTAATCTAGGTGCTATTGGGGAGTTATTCTAGGTGTGACTAACATCTACAATCAGCTGACTTTAAGTACAGGAGATTATCCTTGATCATACTGAAACAGGAGAGTTCTCTGCTCCCTGACTCCCCTCTCAGGATGTGTGACAGAAGTGTTGCTCATCTGTTTGGCCACCACTGCTCAAACCCCTTACAGGAGGGGGAGCATGCAAATGGGCAGGTGCAGGAGCCAGGGAAAATGTGTCTGGGGTCCAGCCCTATGGTGGCATCTAGGGATGTGGGTATGCGACTCTCAAAGCCCCAGTAGGTGTGCTACCATGTTCTTTCATCTCTGCCATCCACAGATGGCTTAAGTGTCAACCAGTGCCCTCTTGGTATCACACATGGACTTGAAGGATAGTGAATATGGGGATTTTATTGGATGATGGAGTTGGCTCTTAATGGGACGGGTGGGGAACTGGAAAGGGGATGGAGTGGGAAGATGATCTTCCTCTGGAGTTTGGCTGTTCCACAGCTGACCTCCTCTCTGACTGTCTCCAGCTGAACTCCTCTCGACGTTCAGACTCTTCTCTTCTCTCCTTCTCTGCTGAGCTGCTTCTCTGCCTCTCTGCTCTTCTGTACATCTGTTCATCTGCTCGTCTGCTCATGGACCCTGGAGTTTGGGGTTTATATGGGTACAGGATAGGGAAGTGTGGTGGGCCAAAAGGCAACATTCAGTCATGAAAACAGGAATGCTTGTTCCCATTTAGGGCTGTGGGCTTCCAGGCTTAGGGTCAGGGCATTTGCTGGGGAACTGCCCTCTTTTACCCAGTATTTCCCTGTTTCCTGTCTGTATCAATATGGTGGGTCTCCAGGATGAAAAGGCCTTAAGAGCAAAAACTGAGATTTCCTGGAGGTGAAGAAATTCTGCCTTAAAACTACAACATTGACTCTTGCCTGATTTCTAGTGCACCAGAGTGTCCTTTAGATTTCAGACTTACCAGCCCCCATAATCACATGAGCCAATTCCTTAAAGTCTCTCTCTCTGTATTATCTATCTATCTATCTATCTATCTATCTATCTATCTATCTATCTATCATCTATCTATCTATCTATCTATCTATCTATCTATCTATCTATCTATCTATCATCTCCTACTGGTTCAATGTTCTGGAGAACCCTGAATGGTACATGTGAGATGGGAAACTCTTCTAGGGTTTTGACCAGAGAAGAAATATGATGTTGCTTAGGTTAAGAATAAGCTGTGGAGGTTCAAGGCTGGAAGCAAGTGACAAGTTAAGAGTGCTGTAAAAACTCAGGGGAGGAATGATGGTAGCTTTGCACTAGGGTAGTAGCAATGGAGGTCGTAAAAAATTGCAGATTCTGAATATATTTGAAGTTAAGTGAACAGGGTTTGATGACAGATTGATGGGGAGTATAAAAACAAGAAGTAACAAAATTAAGATTTTTAGCTGCAAGTAGAAAAACGAGGTTGCCACGGACTGAATTGGGGGTTTTAAAAGATCAATTTTCATGAAGGGAGAAGGCCAACATTCAGTTTGTACATGGCAAATTTGAAATACCCATTAAACATCCAACTGTAGATGGGGAGTAAGCAGCTGGACAAAACATTCCAAAGTTTTCTGAGAGATCTAGACATAAGGTACAATATGGAGATCCTCTGAGTATAGATAATATTGTAGCTTTGAGAGTAGCTGAGATATTTTAATAAGTGTATAGATAGAAAAAGAAATACTATCCCAGGACTTGAACCTGAGTACTCCAACATTAAAAATATATAAGATGGAAGAAAATAGCAAGAGACTGAGATAAGGCAGCTAATGTGATGAGAGGAGAACCAAGGAAGAAGGAGACCTAGAAGATAGGTGAAGAAGGCATTTGAGAAAATATCAACTATGACAAATTCTGTTTATAGGTTAAGATGAGAACTGAAAATTGATTGTTGATGCCCTTCACCAGAGCTGTTTCAGTGTAGTAGAAACAAAAGCTTGATTGGTGAGGAAGAGAAGAGATAAAGTAGACAGAGATATGCTATATTCTAGTAAACAGCAATATCCTATATGCTTTTAGGAAGTCGTTTCTCTTGGAAGATAAAACATCACATTTCTATATTGATGTGGATAATTTAGTGGGGAGTGAAATTTATGGCAGAAGAAAGGAGAGCATTGCTGAAGCTACATCCTTAAGGAAATGAGAGGGGAAGGGAACCAGAACATCGGTGGGAGATTTGGCTTATAGAGGAGTTAAGGCAGTTCATCTATGGCAATGGGAGGGAAGGCAGTTCCTTTAATGACAATGGGAATGGAAGTGTACATATAAGGGTTCAAATGTAGGCAGGTTGCAGAAATGGAAATGGGAGCATGTAAAAAACTTCTGATGGCCTTGTTCTTCTAAATGAAAGAAAATAAGACTATAAGCTGAGAGTGAGCACACATAAGGAGGTGTTAAAATTTGAGCCAACAGAAGACTGATGTAGTCATCCAAGTGTGGAGAGTAAAAATACAAGGAAAATGTGGCAGATAGAAGGAGGACTGTAGTCTTCTTGCAGAGCTGTTGGCTTCTGTCTCTACTACTGAAGATGAATGTGGAAAATTGGTACATTTTCCTTTAAGTGGATGTATTTTATTTTGCTGATTTGTAAGGAAACAGCAAATTGAAGCCAGAATTAGAATGAGTTCTGGTAAATGCGATTAAAGGTAAAATTTCCTCAGATTTGTTATACCTCTAAAAATTGTGTTAATTTCTAAAATGCCACTAAAACTTTATGGTCATGTATTTAAGCCCAATATGATAGAACTAAACCTCAATATAGCAATTAGGATCTCTTCCAAACCCCAAGCCAGAAGTTGGTTTGGGAGATGTTGGTGGCAGGAAACCAATATCACTAAAGACATCAGAAGACATTAAGTCTCATTCAGGCTCATGATTGTGAAAATGTCATTTGTTATAATTCAGTCTAACACTATATTTCTGGGAACAATCTGTAGTGGGAATTTTTACATTCACATGCATAAAACAATATAGGAGGTTTGGGGAAAATGTATCCTTAGTTATCATATTTTCCAGTGATATGTTGTCAATACTCTCAAATATGAGAGTCATCAAAGAACAAGTTTTGGCAGCAATCTTTGAAGATAATGCTTCCTTTAGTACATTGCCAAACTTCTCCTTTAAAAATGAAAGAACAACTTATAATTATTTGTGACACTTGTGAAATGATAATGGAAGCTTTGAATAGTTTTGCTCAGAATTCACACCTATTCAATTCCACATAGAGTTGTTAAAATAAATGAGAAATACAGCCTCAAGAACAAAGACACATGAATTCAGACAGAGCAATCTAAGAAAATAGGGTTTTCTTTTTAAATTTTCATTTGAATGACACTAAGAAAACCAAACTCTTTTAAAAGTAATCATTGGTGTTTACTAAAACACATTTTTCACTATGCTGAACATACGCCCTTGAGGTAAAAATATTTTTCTTTGCCAAAACCTTGAGAAAGTTATAATTGACTAATAATTCTCTGCTTTGGAAGAAACACAACCATCAATATCAAAGCTTGTATAATCATTACAACTTTTGCTGTAAAATAGTGAGATTCTTAACTAAATTTTAGAGGCATGATATTATCATTTTGGAGTCTTTTCTTCATTGTATTCTTTCTGGAAGAAAACATTATAGTTCGTCTTTGATGAATAGAGCTTACATTATGTTCCTAAGAGATAGTGATGTTTTTTACAGTGGCGGCTGTCGATGTGTGCTGCTTAGATTTTTCTTCCAGGAAGAACTTGCATATTCACCTGAAAGAAGTGCAGTTAGCTGACAGCTTCCAGCTGTTAGCACCTTCAGGATTCACCTCAGCTTTCAAGCCAAGACAATGATCTTTCTGGGCAGCCCCCAGCCAATTACTGGATGGGGATACTCTAGACCTGGCCATTTCTGCCCAACATGGGACTCCTCTCATGGGTACTCATTGTTCTGGAGCTCCAGATTCATTGCTCTGGGTTGTAGATCTGTATTACAGGCTGGAAGCTTTCAATGGTCAGTTCAGCTTCTTCTGCTTTTTATCTTTCACGGATGTTACCTCTGTCCTCCCTGCCCCCCATGAACTCCTTGCACTCCAATCAAAACTCTATCTCAATGTTTTCTTCCCATGGACTCAATTGACAGTAATCCCCCTCAAATGTGTTGGGCCAAGTACTGTGTTATTAATACATGCCGGGAATACAAACGTCACTTAACACATATTTTCTATCCTAAAAAGCTCACAAACTAATTGGGAAGCAAGCACCCACTATAAGCATAAAGTACAAAAGAGTCAACATAATTATGAAGCTATGGAGTTGAACTGGTCTTTGATTGCTTTGTGACAAATCACCAGAAACTGAGCACCTTAAAACAGCACGATGTACTATCTTGGAGTTCTGTAAGTTATATGTCTCAGCAAGCTTGATTGAAGTGTCTTCTTAGGGTCTCACAAGGCCAAAAATCAAGGTATCAGACAGTCTGGGCTCTTATCTGGAAGGTCTGGGAGAGAATCCACTTCCCAGCTCATTCAAGTTTCTCGCAGGATCTAGTCCCTTGTGGTGGTACAGTAGGCCTGAGGTTTTTGTTTCCTTGTTGGCTGTCAGCTGGGGGTCACTCTGGCTTCTAGAGGCCCGCCCTGTTCTTTATCATGTGGTCCCATGCCATTTCTTTAAGTCAGCAATGATGCTTTGAATCCTTCCCATTCTTGGACTCTCACTGACTTCCTCTTCTGCCACCAGCAAGAGAGAACTCTTTGCTATTTAAAGGGCTCATGTGACTGGATTATGTCCCACCTAGATAATCTCTTCTTTTATTAACTCACAGTCAACTAATTAGTAACTTTAACTACATCTGCAAAATTACTTATATTAATTAACATAATCTGAATGAATTCTTATCATATTCACAGTCCTGGGAATTAGGCAGAAAATCTTGTGGGATCATATTAGGATTGTGCCTACCATAGAAGCATAGAGAAAGGGTTCAGGATGATGACGCTGAGAAGGCAGAAACTTCCAGGGGTAGATGATTGTTGACCTGAATTTTTAAAAAATAGCAAGAAGGTCAAATGGGGGCAGTTTTAGCCAAGAGTTAGTTGGAGGTTTGAAACAGTGTAGGGTGTGCCAGGATATATAAGTAGAACTATTGCTGAAGACTACTCAGAGAATGTCCCAAAATTTTAAGCTTAGAGATTAGGGTTAGTTGTTGGGAAACCATAAGAGGATTTTAAGCAGGTGATTGACATGTGTGTTGGAGAGTGATTTGGCACAACATAGAAGGTAGATTTTACAGAGTATCACTAGAGGTGGAGATCAAATAGAAGCCATAAAATGTATGCATCTGAGAGAGAGTGATTGTCTAAATCAGTACATTTGCACTAGAATGGGGAAAAGGAGAAGACTGTTTTTAATTTAGAAGGTAAATTTTGTAGCACTTAGCGATGGACTGCAAATGGAAAATGCTAGAGAAGAGGCACTCTGTGGTGACTTTTGGCTTAGGAGACTGTAGGTGGAGGATCTATACATTGATTTGGGGATGAAATCCGGATAGACAGATTGAAGGGAGGGGAGAGAAGTGGGATGATGAGTAATTGAATACTGGAAGTGTTGAATCTGAAGCAGTTGTAGAACATCCACATCATCAACTTTTCTCTTTCTACTGAATCAGCATAAAAGCATCCTCTTCTATTTCCGTTAAATACAAAACAAGAAAACGTCCCTGAATCCCTCATTGCTCTCCAGCTACCAGCTTAAATTTTCTTCTTCTTCATCCCTAAACTGCTTCCACATATCATCTCTTTTCATTCACTTTCCTTTTACTTTTCAATGCTTCTTTAGCTTTGCTTCCTAATTCACCTACCTACTCCATTGAAATTGCTTTGTCAAGGTCAGAGGTAGCTTTCCTGTTGCCATTGTCCTCAATTTATTCAGTGACCCAGCAGCATTTGATAGAATTGACCTGCTACTTAAATCCACAAATTGACTTAGCAGTACATAGTGCAGGCCTAAAAAATGAGAAAGAATAATCACACACAAAGTTCACTGTAGCATAATGAAAATAACACTTAAACACAACCATTTATTTATGGCATAGTCTCATTGTGTCTTCTAGTCAGAAAGTTAAAATATTATGCTGGGCAGTTCAAACTATATTCATCAAAATTATGTCGTTTTTTTCCTAACTTAGAAGAATATTTTCTTATATCAAAAGTTAAAGTCTTTGCCTATACTTGGATCTTGCTCTCCTTTCAAACATGCCTGAAGAGGTGAAAAATGTTATCAAGTTTTCAAAACAGGCTAGTCAGAGTCAGAGGCAGAGGCAGAGGTGAGAGTGAAACTGGTTTTGAGGTCAAGTAATCCATTGATTTCACTGCTCCACAAATTTTGTTCTCACTTTCTTTTTCACTTAGAACTTCATGTAAAGATACTTACCAAATTTCCATTTATTATTTAAATCATTATGAAACATTGCAGACATGCAGAATTACATAAAGGATAGACAGATAAATAGAATATGCATATTCCCACTATTTAAGAAGTAAAATAATCAAATTTTTCCTGTAGAGGAAACTGTCAGGCCTCTGAGCCCAAGCTAAGCCATCATATCCCCTGTGACCTGCACATTCACATCCAGATGGCCGGTTCCTGCTTTAACTGATGACATTCCACCACAAAAGAAGTGAAAATGGCCTGTTCCTGCCTTAACTGATGACATTATCTTGTGAAATTCCCTCTCCTGGCTCAAAAGCTCCCCTACTGAGCACCTTGTGACCCCTACTCCTGCCTGCCAGAGAACAACCCCCCTTTTTCCTTTTCCTACCCAAATCCTATAAAACAGCCCCACCCCTATCTCACTTTGCTGATTCTCTTTTTGGACTCAGCCCGCCTGCACCCAGGTGATTAAAAGCTTTATTGCTCACACAAATCCTGTTTGGTGGTCTCTTCACAGGGACGCGCATGAAATTTGGTGCCGTGACTCGGATCGGCGGACCTCCCTTAGGAGATCAATCCCCTGTCCTCCTGCTCTTTGCTCCATGAGAAAGATCCACCTACGACCTAAGGTCCTCAGACCAACCAGCCCAAGAAACATCTCACCAATTTCAAATCCGGTAAGCAGCCTCTTTTCACTCTCTTCTCCAACCTCCCTCACTATCCCTCAACCTCTTTCTCCTTCCAATCTTGGCACCACACTTCAATCTCTCCCTTCTCTTAATTTCAATTCCCTTCATTTTCTAGTAGAGACAAAGGAGACACGTTTTATCTGTGGACCCAAAACTCTGGCGCTGGTCGCAGACTGGGAAGGCAGCCTTTCCTTGGTGTTTAATCATTGCAAGGATGCCTCTCTGATTATTCACCCACATTTCAGAGGTGTCAGACCATGCAAGGACACCTGCCTTGGTCCTTCATCCTTAGCGGCAAGTCCCGCTTTTCTGGAGGAAGGGCAAGTACCCCAACCCCTTCTCTCTGTGTCTCTACCCCTTCTCTGCTTTTCTGAGGGAGGGGCAAGAACCCCTCAACCCCTTCTCCTTCACCCTTAGTGGCAAGTCCCGCTTTTCTAGGGGGCAAGAACCCCCAATCCCTTATTTCCATGCCCCAACCTCTTATCTCTGTGCCCCGATCCCTTATTTCCATGCCCCGATCTCTTATCTCTGTGCCCCAACCCCTTTCTCACTTTTCTGGAGGGTAAGAACCCCCAAACCCCTTCCCTCCGTGTCTCTACCCTTCTCTTTAAACTTGCATCCTTCACTATAGGCAACCTTCCACCTTCCATTCCTCCTTCTTCTCCCTTAGCCTGTGTTCTTAAGAACTTAAAACCTCTTCAACTCTCACCTGACCTAAAATCTAAGAAGTGTCTTATTTTCTTCTGAAATGCCGCTTGACCCCAATACAAACTCAACAGTAGTTCCAAATAGCCAGAAAATGGCACTTTCAATTTTTCCATCCTACAAGATCTAAATAATTCTTGTCGTAAAATGGGCAAATGGTCTGAGGTGCCTGACGTCCAGGCATTCTTTTACACATTAGGCCCTTCCTAGTCTCTGTTCCCAATGCAACTCGTCCCAAATCTTCCTTCTTTCCCTCCCTCCTGTCCCCTCAGTCCCAACCCCAAGCTTCCCTGAGTCTTTCTAATCTTCCTTTTCTACAGACCTATCTGACCTCTCCCCTCCTCGCCAGGCCGAGCTAAGTCCCAGTTCTTCCTCAGCCTCTGCTCCTCCACCCTATAATCCTTTTATCACCTCCCCTTCTCACACCCGGTCCAGCTTACAGTTTCGTTCCGCGACTAGCCTTCCCCAACCTGCCCAGCAATTTCCTCTTAAAAAGGTGGCTGGAGCTAAAGGCATAGTCAAGGTTAATGCTCCTTTTTCTTTATCCCAAATCAGATAGCATTTAGGCTCTTTTTCATCAAATATAAAAATCTAGCCCAGTTCATGGCCCGTTTGGCAGCAACCCTGAGATGCTTTAGAGCCCTAGACCCCAAGAGGTTAAAAGGCTGTCTTATTCTCAATATACATTTTATTACCCAATCTGCTCCCGACATTAAATAAAACTCCAAAAATTAAATTCCAGCCCTCAAACTCCACAACAGGACTTAATTAACCTTGCCTTCAAGGTGTACAATAATAGAAAAAAGTTGCAATTCCTTGCCTCCACTGTGAGACAAATCCCAGCCATATCTCCAGCACACAAGAACTTCTAAACGCCTGAACTGCAGCGGCCAGGCGTTCCTCCAGAACCTCCTCCCCCAGGAGCTTGCTACAAGTGCCAAAAATCTGGCCATCGAGCCAAGGAATGCGTGCCGCCCAGGATTCCTCCTAAGCCATGTCCCATCTGTGCGGGATCCCACTGGAAATCGGACTGTTCAACTCACCTGGCAGCCACTCCCAGAGGCCCTGGAACTCTGGCCCAAGGCTCTCTGACTGACTCCTTCCAAGATCTTCTCGGCTTAGTGGCTGAAGACTGACGCTGCCTGATTGCCTCGGAAGCCCCCTAGACCATCACAGATGCCGAGCTTCAGGTAACTCTCACAGTGGAAGGTAAGTCCGTCCCCTTCTTAATCAATATGGAGGCTACCCACTCCACATTATCTTCTTTTCAAGGGCCTGTTTCCCTTGCCTCCATAACTGTTGTGAGTATTGACGGCCAGGCTTCTAAACCTCTTAAAACTCCCCAACTCTGGTGCCAACTTAGACAATACTCTTTTAAGCACTCCTTTATAATTATCCCCACCTGCCCAGTTCCCTTATTAGGCTGGGTCACTTCAACTAAATTATCTGCTTCCCTGACTATTCCTGGACTACAGCTACATCTCATTGCCACCCTTTTTCCCAATCCAAAGCCTCCTTTGCATCCTCCTCTTGTATCCCCCCACCTTAACCCACAAGTATAAGATACCTCTACTCCCTCCTTGGTGACCGATCATGCACCCCTTACCATCTCATTAAAACCTAATCACCCTTACCCCACTGAATGCCAATATCCCATCCCGCAGCACGCTTTAAAAAGATTAAAGCCTGTTATCACTCGCCTGCTACAGCATGGCCTTTTAAAGCCTATAAACTCTCCTTACAATTCCCCCATTTTACCTGTCCTAAAACCAGACAAGCCTTACAAGTTAGTTCAGGATCTATGCCTTATCAACCAAATTGTTTTGCCTATCCACCCTGTGGTGCCAAACCCGTATACTTTCCTATCCTCAATACCTCCCTCCACAACCCATTATTCTGTTCTAGATCTCAAACATGCTTTCCTTACTATTCCTTTGCACCCTTCATCCCAGCCTCTCTTCGCTTTCACTTGGACTGACCCTGACACCCATCAGGCTCAGCAAGTTACCTGGGCTGTACTGCCGCAAGTCTTCACAGACAGCCCCCATTACTTCAGTCAAGACCAAATTTCTTCCTCCTCTGTTACCTATCTTGGCGTAATTCTCATAACAACACATGTGCTCTCCCTGCTGATCATGTCCGGCTAATCTCCCAAACCCCAACCCCTTCTACAAAACAACAACTCCTTTCCTTCCTAGGCATGGTTAGTGCAGTCAGAATTCTTACACAAGAGCCAGGACCGCACCCTGTAGCCTTTCTGTCCAAACAACTTGACCTTACTGTTTTAGCCTAGCCCTCATGTCTGTGTGCAGTGGCTGCCACTGCTTTAATACTGTTAGAGGCCCTAAAAATCACAAAGTATGCTCAACTCACTCTCTACAGTTCTCATAACTTCCAAAATCTATTTTCTTCCTCCCACCTGATGCATATATTTTCTTCTCCCCAGCTCCTTCAGCTATACTCACTCTTTGTTGAGTCTCCCACAATTACCATTGTTCCTGGCCCGGACTTCAATCTGGCCTCCCACATTATTCCTGATACCGCACCTGAACCTCATGACTGCATCTCTCTGAGCCACCTGACGTTCACCTCATTTCCCCACATTTCCTTCTTCCCTGTTCCTCACCCTGATCACACTTAGTTTATTGATGGCAGTTCCACCAGGCCTAATCGGCACACACCAGCAAAGGCAGGCTATGCTATAGTACAAGCCACTAGCCTGCCTCTTAGAACCTCTCATTTCCTTTCCATCGTGGAAATCTATCCTCAAAGAAATAACTTCTCAGTGTTCCATCTGCTATTCTACTACTTCTCAGGGATCATTCGGCCCCCTCCCTTCCTACACATCAAGCTCAGGGATTTGCCCCTGCCCAGGACTGGCAAATTAGCTTTACTCGACATGCCCCGAGTCAGGAAACTAAAATACCTCTTGGTCTAGGTAGACACTTTCATTGGATAGGTAGAGGCCTTTCCCACAGGGTCTAAGAAGGCCACCACGGCCATTTCTTCCCTCTGTCAGACGTAATTCCTTGGTTTGGCCTTCCCACCTCTATACAGTCCGATAGCAGACCGGGCTTTATTAGTCAAATCAGCCAAGAATTTTTTCAGTCTCTTAGTATTCAATGAAACCTTTATATCCCTTACAGTCATCAGTCTTCAGGAAAGGTAGAACAGACTAATGGTCTTTTAAAAACACACCTCACCAAGCTCAGCCACCAACTTAAAAAGGACAGGACAATACTTTTACCACTTTCCCTTCTCAGAATTCAGGCCTGTCCTCAGAATGCTACAAGGTACAGCCCATTTGAGCTCCTGTATAGACACTCCTTTTTATTAGGCCCCGGTCTCATTCCAGACACCAGACCAACTTGGACTCTGCCCCAAAAAACTTGTCATCCCTACTATCTTCTGTCTAGTCATACTCCTATTCACCGTTCTCAACTACTCATACATGCCCTGCTCTTGTTTACACTGTCAGTTTACACTGTTTCTCCAAGCGATCACAGCTGATATCTCCTGGTGCTATCCCCAAACCGCCACTCTTAACTCTTAAAGTAAATAAATAATCTTTGCTGGCAAAGCTATGCTGAACCTCCTTAGGCACTCTCTAAATGTCCTAGGTCCTCCCAATTCTTAGACCTTTAATACCTGTTTTTCTCCTTCTCTTATTCCGTTTTTCAATTCATACAAAACCGTATCCAGGCCATCACCAATAATTCTAAATGACAAATATTCCTTCTAACAACCCCACAATATCACCCCTTACCACAAAATCTTCCTTCAGCTTAATCTCTCCCACTCTAGGTTCCCACGCCGCCCCTAATCCCACTCGAAGCAGCCCTGAGAAACATTGCCCATTATCTCTCCATACCACCCCCCAAAAATTTTCACCATCCCAACGCTTTACCACTATTTCATTTTACTTTTCTTATTAATATAAGAAGACAGGAATGTCAGGCCTCTGAGCCCAAGCTAAGCCATCATATCCCCTGTGACCTGCACATACACATCCAGATGGCCGGTTCCTGCCTTAACTGATGACATTCTACCACAAAGGAAGTGAAAATGGCCTGTTCCTGCCTTAACTGATGACATTATCTTGTGAAATTCCTTCTCCTGGCTCATCCTGGCTCAAAAGCTCCCCTACTGAGCACCTTGTGACCCCCACTCCTGCCCGCCAGAGAACAACCCCCCTTTTTCCTTTACCTACCCAAATCCTATAAAACAGCCCCACCCCTATCTCCCTTCACTGACTCTTTTTGGACTCAGCCTGCCTGCACCCAGGTGATTAAAAGCTTTATTGCTCACACAAATCCTGTTTGGTGGTCTCTTCACAGGGACGCGCATGAAAGAAACTATTAATACAATTTTATTATTTATCAATCTCATTTATTTCTTTACATTTTTGCTAAATGTGTATGTATTCCTATGTAGTATATAGACTCATTTTGAATGTTTCCATTTCTATATAAATGAAATCACTGAGTATATAGGTCTTTGCCTAACATATTTGTGATTTATCCATAATGAATTTTCAGTTGCTAAGAATTCATTTTCACTGTCATTTAACATTTGATATATGATAATGTCAAATTTTATTTACCTGTTCTTTTGATAAACATTTAAGTTGTTAATATATTTTTCTATTGTTGCTATTTTAAAAATGTCTCCTTATGAAAGTGTATGATCATTTCTTTGCTGTATATACCTATAACGTGCTTTCTGAGTAGCAGGTATAATAAACTCATCAGATTTGCTAGATATTGCTAATTGCTCTTAGTAGTTGCCTTCCCCAGTGGAATAAAAAAAATCTTATTTATTATTCTTATCAAAACACTATTTTCAGAGATTTGAAGTAATATCTAAAGTTAGTTTTCATTTGCACATCCCTCTTTGCTACTGAGATTGAGCATCTATTCACATTTAATATTTACCAGTTTATTTACCTTTTTTATCTACTGCCTGTTCATATCTTTTGACATTTTATACTAGATTAATTTTTATTTTTCTTTATTGATTTGTAGAAATCCTTCATCTAATCTGGCAAACACATGTGGCAGGTACTGTTACATGCTTACTCAATACCCATGTAATTTACCATGTTCTCTAAAACTGTCATTATGACTCTTAGTAATTTGTTTTCCATGCTAATTTTATAATGAGCTTGCTACACTATAAAAAATGAAAACAAAACAAAACTTTGGTGAAACATCATCTGAGTTATGTTGAATGCATAGATTAATTTTGAGGAAACTGCCATCTTCACAATATTGAATTTCCATGTCTTTGAAATTATCTCTACTTATGTACATCTTTAATTTCTTTCAATAAAATATTTTAAATGCTGTGCATCATTATGACACCCATTTTTTAAAATTTATTTCAAGATAATTTTTACTTTTGGAAGTTATTCTAAATTAAATACTTTAAAAATTTATTTTATGGACCAGTTTGTTGCTGAAGTATTGACATTAAACTAATTTTGTTTGTTGGTCTGTTATAAAGCAATCTTGCTAAAATTATTAGTTATAATAATTGTTAAGTCTCTTGATTTTGTTATGTAGAGCATCATATTCTGGCAAATAATGCCAGATTTGTTTCTTGCTTTAGAAATTTCCTATTATTTATTTCGTGCTGTGCTTGCTGGCTAGATCCATAAAACAATTTAAAAAAAGACTGATAAGTACCTTTGTTTTGTTTCTGATTTTAAAGACATTATACCTAATATTTCATTATTAAGTGTAATGTTTCTTTATTCTTTTGGTATATCTGGTTCAAGAACTTTCTATTCCTAGATTCCTAGAGTTTTTAATCATAAGTGAGCAGTGAATTTTAAGAAAGTCTTTTTCTGTTACTGAGATACACTTTTTTCTTTTTATCTATTAGTTTTGTTGATTATATTAATATATTTTGTCATGATAAACCATTCTGAATTTCTGTACTGCATGCATTTGACTTGTTAATATTTTATTTAGAATGTCTGCATGTGTCTTCTTGAAGGATATTGCACTACAACTTAACCTTGCGTCCGTGTTCATGTTGGTATTTTCTTTCTAGGTTTTTCTCACCGCATAAAATATGTTATAGAGTAGTCCATCTATTTCTCTTCCATGGAAGAGTTCATCTGGTAGATTGGACTACCACTTTTCCTTGTGAGTATATTGATTATGTGTCCCTACCTGTTATTATTTGACTTACACTCTCTCTGTCCCTGAGAGTATTCCTCGTGCATTAGCGTTGGGATTGGATACACAATTTATATGAGAAATAAATCTTTGTTGTTGCAGATCACTGACACACGTGAGATTTTTTGCAACTATAGCATAAATGAACTGACACATCATTAAAAATTAAAATTACATTTTTCTTTAATGTCTGATAGAAATCACCTACAAAATTATTTTTCTCTTTTAAATGAGATTTTTAAAAAGATATTAATTAGTTTAATAATTGTAGGTCTATGTGGGTCTTAAAAATTTATTTCTGAACCACTTTGAATAAATTAAGTTATAGTTGTCTAGAAAACTCTCCATTTTGTTTATATCTTTGTCCTAAAGTTGATATAAAATTCTACTCATTTTTAAATTTCTGCTGCCTTTACATATTCTCCCTAGTTTAAAATTTCAAATGATTATTTCTTCCTTTGGTTTGTTCTTTATTAATCTTGCTATGCTTAGTTTTTTTATTTTTTTTTTTGTTTGTTTGTTTTTTGTTTTTTGTTTTTTTTTTTTGAGATGGAGTCTCTCTCTGTCGCCCAAGCTGGAGTGCAATGGTACAATCTCGGCTCACTGCAACCTTCACCTCCCAGGTTGAAGTGATTCCCCTGCCTCAGCCTCCCGAGTAGCTGGGACTACAGGCACATGCCATCACACTTGGCTAATTTTTGTATTTTCAGTAGAGACAGGGTTTTACCATGTTGGCCGGGCTGGTCTCAAACTGCTGACCTCAGGTGATCTGCCCACCTCAGCCTCCCAAAGTGCTGGGATTACAGGCTTGAGCCACCACGCCCGGCCTTTATTAGTCTTTTCAAAAAGCCAACTCTTTATTTCATATTATTTATTTAATTTCATTATCTACTCATATTTATTATTTTTCTTTTTCTTTCTTTGTGATTATTCTTTTTTTAAACTTTATCGTTTTAGAACAGTTTTCAGTTCACAGAAAAATTGAAAAGAAGGAGGAAAGCTTTATCATTTACCCCTTTCCCCTATACATGCATGAATAGCCTCCCTCCACCATTAACAAAGTCCCCCACCAAAGTGGTACATTTGATACAGCCATTGAACCTACGTTGACACATCATTATCACCCAAAGTCCATAGTTAATATTGACTCTTGATGTTGTACATTATGTATGTTTGCACAAATGAACAATGACATGTATCCACCATTATAATATCATAGAGAGCAGTTTCATTGCATTAAAAAATTTTTCTGTTCTCCACCTATTCAACCCTGCTTCCTCTGTAACTCCTGTCAACCTACTGATCTTTTTTAATGTCTCCATAGTTTTTCCTTTTCCAGAATATCATATATTTAGAATACAGTATATAGACTTTTCAGATTGGCTTCTTTCACACATTCACTTGCTTTCCAGTTTCTTCCATTTCTTTAGAAATATCAAGTCATATAATCCATCATATCAAAAGGCCAAAGGAGAAAAAAAAATCATACGATTGTATCAATTGATGCAGAAGAAACATTTGACAAAATCCAATACCCGTTAATGATTAAAAACTCTCAGTAAACTAGGAATAGAAGGGAACTTCCTTAACTTGATAATGAATATCTGCATATTAGAACTAACATCATACTCAACAGTAAGAAACTAGAAATTTCCCCACTAAAACCAAGAACAAGGCAAGAATGTCCCGTTTAAGCAGTATTTTTCAACAGCATACTGAAAATGCTCGCTAATACAATATGAAAGGAAACCAAAATAAAAGATATACTGATTGGGAAGGAGAAAAACTCCTAGGCCTAATAAGCAATTATACTAAAGTTACAAGACATGAGATTAATATATAAAACTCAGTTGATTTCCTGTATATAAGAAATGAACAACTGGAATTTGAAATTAAAACACAATACCACTTACATTAGCAGCCCCAAAATGAAATTTTTAGGTATAAATTTAACAAAGTATGTACAAGATCTATATGAGGAAAGTTACAACACTCTGATGAACAAAATAAAAGAAGAACTAAATAATTGGAGAGACATTTATGTTCTTAGATATGAACCATCTTGCATTTCTGTGCTGCATGAATTTGACTTGATAGTATTTTATTTAGAATGCCTGCATTTGTCTTCATGTAAGACATTGCACTACACTTTAACCTTGTGTTGGTATCCATGCTGGGTTTTATTATCTAGGTTTTTCTTACCACATAAAATTTGTTATAGAGTAGTGCATCTATTTCACTTCCACAGGAGATTTTATCTATGGTAGATTGGACCACTACCCTTTTCTGTGAGAATATTGATAATGTTGTATGTCCTTGCCTTTCATTCCATTTTCATGACTCTATATTGTCAAGATGTCAGTTCTTCCCAGCTTGACTTATAGATTCAGCGCAGTCCCCGTAAAAATCCCAGCAAATTATTGTGTGGATTGAAAAACTGGTTTTAAAATTTATATAGAAAGGTAAAAGACCCAAATTAGCCAACACAGTGTTGAAGGAGAAGGAGAAAGTTGGAAGGCTGACACAACTTTACTTCAAGACTTATTATCAAGCTACAGTAATCAAGAAAGAGTGGTACTGGTGGAAAAATAGACAAATAAATCAATATATAAGCCATCCAGTCTATGGTATTGTGTTATAGAAGCCCGAATGACTAAGACACTACACAATCAGAGTGTGGACCAATCCAAATATATTTCCTTATTATTTTCCTTTATTTTAATCAACCTAACTACTGAGAATGTAGCCTTTTGTGTTTTATGCTACAGTCTAAATTAGGAATGTTAACTTTGTGGATTCAAGGCAAAATGTCTTGTCCTCTTTGTAATTATTAGAAAGCAAGGCAATAAGTAGCACAGAATAATAAATGACCTAAGTTTGCTACAAGTAAATGCCCATTTTTTACAGTGGTTTTCAACATCTTTTTCATTTTTGGCTTTAAAGTTTCCTTTATTTTCTGGCAGGGACAAATGTACATTGGAAAAGATTGTTAAAATGTATTCACCATATTCACATTTTTGTATGGGGAAGGTTTTTGATGTTGTCTAATATGAATTAAGCTGAAAATGATAGTCTCCTTTCATTCTTAAACTCTTTACATTCTGAATTCCTGCTCTCACCTCAGTTCTTGTAAATTTTCTCAATGATCTCATGAATACCAAATTTTATTTCTGCCTCTCAGTGCTCATTTGCTCATCATTTCCCCTAATTTCTAATTTCTGTTTTCCATTGCCATTATCTTTTTTTTTTTTTTTTGCTCTCTTTGTAACACTACCACCATTTCCTAAGGTTCAGACTTCAAAATTACATAATAAATTTTCCTTTCTGTACCCTGTATTCCATTAATCAGGAAATTCTATAGATTCTTGCTACTTATTCTGTTTTTGTCTATTTTTTTTTTTCTATCATTCTCAGAACAGCAGAAACTCAGACCCTGCAATGTTTCTTGTTGGTCTTTCTCATCTTTGTATATGTCCCACCCCTATGTTTGATCATGGCTTTCCTTTCTTTAAAAATCTACAGTCTAATGTATTATATATTATATATTACATATAATATAACTTTCTTAGATTAATATTCAAATTCTTACTTGATTTGGCCCTAGACTATTTTCAACCATTATCTTTCACAAAACACTTTTGAAGACAAAAATCATGCCATATGAAATGATTTATTGTTCTCTAAACATAAAATCACTCCTTTCAATTTCTTGGGCTTCTGATTTCTTCCAAATGAAATACATTTTACAATGTGTTTACATCCCCACAAATTGAAAGTAACTTCTGTCAACATAGAGACTAAATGCTTGGTACAGACATCTTGCATGGATGCTACCAAGAATTCCAAAGTTGTAAATTATCTCCCTTTTCTTTTCTTCTATAGAATATTTTATCTACTTTATTATGTCTATCAGATGCTGCCTGGTTAGATGGACATTTATGTATGTCTTCCTATTAAACTGCAAGGTCCATGATAACTGGGTCTTTTCAACCTCTTTGTGTAGTTGTTATTACTAATCACAATGAATAAATCATAGAAGATTTTCAACAAATGCTTACTGAGTCTGGAGGTAAATATTGTGAATACAAGCTAATCTTTCTTTTTAAGAATGTACAAAATGCTATTATTCTATATGATAAGGAACCAAATAGAAATCAGTAAAGACAGAAGAAGGCTTCTTTTGTCCTCTATGGATGATATGTCATTCCTAAAAAACACATGCTGTAGTTTCCTAAATTGAAAACTTATAAATAACATTATCATATCACCATTGTGTATCATCAAAAGAAATAATTAAAATTGTTTTACAACTGAATATAAAAAGTATCCCTTATACTGCATATTACTTTACTCATTTAATTATCATTACCTTCTGTGTTGGCCTAAGATTGCATAGCAAGTAAATGGTGGAGACAAAATGTACACATAACTCTTCTAAAACTCTAATTTTGTATACTTCACACATATTTGTTCTATTATATTAAGCTTATACTGGTTTTAAAATTTCCTTTGTGAGATCATGTGTCAACAAAACATCAAAGACAGTGTTTAACTCCCTTGCAGAATAAGTTTAAATGTATTGTACTAAGCTCCAACATAGTCACTCTGCATATGTGGGAAAGTTCTTTTCAGACTTAGAGTTCCTGAAGTAGAATAAGAGTTTGAAATGGCACTTAGAACCTGTTTGGAGCTGATATATTATACTAAATACAAACTATAAGTAGTATTTTTTCAAACTGTTGGCATGTCCCCAGGTAATACATGGACTACATTTTTTCCCCAAAAGGTATTTGGTTTAATCTAGCGTTTTTCAAATCAGATTTCACATATGTGTTGTCAGGAAATGTTAGATGATCCACACATCCTATATAGTCATTAATTTAGTGTTAGTTTTTTTATTCTATTTGAAATAAGCAATTGACACAATTGACAGCATTTAGCTTTTAATGTACTGGCAAACATGTCTTAGCAATAGCAATTACCTTGACATTTTCTAATATTAAAATGATTACTATCTGTTACAATATTTATATTTGAATTTTTATTATAAGGATATCTACCATTTGATCCTAATATCAAAAAGATAAAATCATTTCTTTTCTAACACAATTTTCATGTTGGACTTTTTAACATTACCAGACAAATGTATAGGTATAAATTTCTATTGAAAATGTTTTCATAGATTAAGACTTCAATTTATTAAGGAATATAATATATTGGGATCTGAGAGTAAGAAAGAGCATTGAGGGAAAGTAATGTACCATTTATAGTGGATTGAGAAGAGGAAAACAGAGGCTGATTTAAAATGCAAATGCAACATGTGCACCAAGGGAAAGGCCAGATGCTATCACAAAGGAAAAGATCACTTAAATAGAAAAAAGTGGTGAGGTGGTCCTGCCATCACATCACCATTAGTTTGCTGAACCTCCACCAACTTACACTGTAGCATTCAGTACCGTGTTTATATTGAGAGTTTTAATTTAGTTTAGCAAAATATCATCCATCACATTAATTGAATGCTGTTACTCTGAATTTTTATTTTCTTAAATTTTTTAGTATTTGCTATAAATGCTTGGCTTTATGATTGGGAGAGAACTAGGCACATGAGGGATTTATTCTGTTGTATGTTTTTATGTATTTAAGCAAGATAAAAATAACTGAAGTCAACACTGCTAGTTCATAATACATCTTTCCTTTATGTGAGGTTTTTTTCTTTTCTCTAGTTGGGAGTCATTGTCTTTAACTATAATCATTCATACAGCAGTTTTAAAACAAAAGCAAACATAATCTAAAACCTACTATAATCTGTTTTTGAAATGCTAATAGCAGGTTTGCCAGTTTTAAAGTGTAAAGCAATTCATTATCACAGCTAGCTGACAAAAGCTTGGGGGCAAAGATCTGCTAAAATTATATTAAGAAAAATACAAAACAGTTAACACTTGAACTTTGAAACTGTTTGAAAATACTAGAATGAGTCTGTACTAGTATGTATAACATTTTGTTATTTATGGACATTTAAAAACAAATGAAAACGCTTGAAAATAGCTGAAAATTAAATACATCTTAACCAATATAACTAAGTCAACTTCCTCCCCATGGAGAATAAAATAGCAACAAAAAATTCAGGGTTTCTAGTTACCAAAAGTGTATTCTCCTATCTCTTCTCTCTCTTGTTTCACATATTTTAGGCATTTTGCCAATGTTTAGGCCAGTGATCCATTTATTGCCATGAGATAATATAATGATAGATGATAGTGGTCAGAAGTCTTCTCAAACTGCACAGCTTTCTAGAACCCTTAGTAGATTTGGGAGTTTTGTGTTTCTTCCCATGATAATTTGATTATACTTTGCCAACTGCCAAAATTCTTGTACTAGAGAAATGAATAAAGTAGCCCTGTAGTGAGGCTCTTCATTTGAAGTCAGATTTTCACTAAATACAACAAAATGGCTGCAGGCAGATGTTTCACAGTGGCCCTAAAATGCCATGTTTTGCAAATGCATATATTCAGGATTATAAGTGTTGGTGCCACCTGCTCTTGAATAGTGTGTCCTTTTTCTTCCCCACTGCTCCCCTAACCCTTCATCATCACTTCACAAATTTACCCTCCAACTGTTAGTTCAAATGAAAATAGCAAATACTTGGTTCAATGGTAAGATAGTTACCATCATTGCTATGGTTTGAATGTGTGTGTTCCCTCTGAAATTCATGCTAAGTCTTAATCCCCAGTGCAACAATGTTAAGAGGTGGAGCCTTTAGGAGATGATTAGCCTCAGAAGACGAGCGCTGCAGTGAGACCCTCAGTCTTCTTAGTGTGTATGTAAGCGGTCATGATCAGAATGCTGGTAGAAATAGGGAAAGATTCTGAGATGGTCTTAGATGGAAATTACAAATACTATATTGAAAACTAGAGGAAAGGACAACCTTGTTACAAAGTTGCAAAGAACTTGGCTGCGTTGCCTCAGTATCCTAGGGCTTTGTGGAAGGCAGAATTTAAGAGCAGTGAACTTGGATATTTGTGGAGGAATGTCTGTGTAAAGTGTTCAGGTTGCTGCGTGGCTTCTATTAATGTCTTAAAGTAAAATGCAGAAGAGAGAAATAAATTAAAGATGGAATGTATAATCAAAAAGGGAACAGAAATTAACGATTTGGAAATTCTAAATGTTTCCATGTAAAGAATGAAAAGGGTTGTTTTGGGGAGAATAGCAAGAATGTGGCCAAGTGATATGGAAATTAGTATGGATAAAAGGAACCCGGATGCCATTCATCAAGACAGTGGAAGAATGACCCTGAAGGAATTTTGGAGATCTTTAAGGCTGCCACCCCCATCACAGGCCCAGAGTGCTAGGGCCTTGAGAGCAGAAATATTTCAAGGTAGGGGCCCTGAGGTATGGGCTCACAGAAGGGCCGCAGCTCTTCTCCCCTTCTCATCGCCCGCAGCGCAGTGAGAGGGAGGGTGTGTTTCAGAGGGCTGTGTTTCAGTCTGTTTTTTACAGCTCTTTCACAGTCCTGGGGCCCCGCTCCAGCCCGCATCTCCTGGACTGGCCTGGCCCGGCCTCTGCTTCCTGTTGTGTGGGGCAGCCACCCACTGCTGGCAGAAGGTGGGAGGGCTATAGTGTTACAGCTCTGGCTCAGGCAACACCAAGGTCTGGGCCCCCAGAAGAATCACTACTCTTCACTCCCACAGTCTGTGAGCGTGTCACTGCCCGCAGCTCGGTGAGTCAGCCAGGAAAGTGTTACAGCTCCTTTCACTCCCGCTGTTCAGCAGGTCCCGAGTTCTCATCCCGCATCCAGGAAGAATGAGGTTATGTGGACACCTGGAGGGTGAGCGAGGCTGAGAAAAGCTTTATTGGGCAACCAGACAGCTCTCAGAAGAGAGGTGACCTGAAGCAGGTAACCCCTATCTGCAAGTAGGTACTCCCAACTAGTGTCTAGTCTGGCTCTTAAAAGTAATACCAAACCATTACTTTTTAATTGTTCTATTTGTAATATTTACATTCTATTGAATAACTAAGGGAATTCAAAATCCTTTGCTTATATGTTAAGTTTTTAAAATGGAAAATAAATAAAGGTTGTTATAATATTATGATTATATGAATATATGACAGGAATAAATATGATAACTAGACCCACAGAAAATGCATGTAGTCCTATGTCATTTCAAAGAGAATGAGGATGTTGCAAGAGACAGAGCATATGTATTCAGATTCTTATATGTTAATGCTTTTTCAAAATCAAGTCATAATTAAGGACAAGCTACAAAGTGAGAAAAAAATACTTGGAAATCACTTATCTGACAAAGGACTAAGTATAGAATATAAAAACACCACTCGAAACTCAACAGGTAATAAAACAACCAATCCTGTTTTAAAAATTGGAACATAAACCATCACTTCACCAAAGAGCATATACAGATGGAAACAAGCATATGAAAAGATGATCAACATCATTAGCCATTAAAAAAATACAAATTAAATCCACAGTGAGATAATGTATATTAGAATGACTGGAAAAGAAAACCAAGCAGATGTCACAAAACCAAGCAGACGTCACAAACCAAGCAGATGTCACAATATAAATATGCACTTAATATATGATCAAGCAATCCCACTCAGGTATTTATTCTAGAGAAATAAAAACATGTTCATATAAAAGCTCATGTACAATATTTATAACAGCTCTTTTTATAATTGCCAAAACATAGAGATAAACTGAATTTCTTCAATGAGTGGATAGATATATTATGACACATTCATATAATAATGTTCAACAATAAAAAGTAATAAACTATTGATACACACAAGGATTAATATTTAAGGCATTAAGCTGTGCTAAAGAAGTTTGTTTTAAAAGGTTACATACTGTATGACTGATTATATTTATATGATGCCTTACAAAAGGCAAAACTGTAGTGAGGATGAAATAATGAGTGAGGCTGGGTGAAGTGGTTCACTCTTGTTATCCTAGCGCTTTGGGAGGCCGAGGCGGGCAGATCATCTGAGGTCAGAAGTTCAAGACCAGCTGGCCAACATGGTGAAACCCCAGCTCTACTAAAAATACAAAAATTAGCTGGGCATGGTAGTGCGTGCCTGTAATCCCAGCTACTCGGGAGGCTGAGGCAGAAGAATCGCTTGAACCTGGGAGGGGGAGCTTGCAGTGAGCTGAGATCATGCCACTACACTCCAGGCTGGGTGACAGAGTGAGACTCTATCTCAAATAAAAAAAAAAAAAGAAATAATGAGTGTTTGCCAGAGGTTTGGGTTGGGGAAACGGTGCAACTACAAAGGGGCAGCACGATGGAGATTTGTAGGTGGAGGAAATTGTATCCTCAACTATGGATCGTGGTGGTATTAACATGTTTTAATACTCATGGACTTGTACATCAAAGAGATCAATTTTAATGTATGTAGTTTTTAAAAAGTAAGATTAAGTTGTACCATGTATTACTTAATTCAGATCTGGAGTATAAGTTTCAACACTTTCCCTAGAATTTCCTATTGTATTTTTCCTTTTGACAGAAGAAAATATATACTTTTGATCAAATAAATGTATAAAAGATTTATGTAAATGTCTTTTATAAATATCTCACAACTTCTTAATAATAATAATAGTATATGTTACATGACACTTACTTTCATTTTGAAAGCATTCTTGGAGTCCTCTGACCTTCTGTCTAATTTTGTCTAAATATTTGCTAGGTGTACTATACTATTATCATCCATAATTTTTTTACCTTTGCACTCCTGGGTTGGTTCTGGATTTTGAGCTCTTTTCTCAGGAAAATTTACAATTTTCTCGATTTAATCTTTAATTTTTTTAACTAAATCTTCATGAGATGTAAGATTTATATATTTTCACATGCCCCAAAATATATTTTTCTTTTATGCCTGGTAATAATTGGTCTGGGTAAGGAAATCTAGGTTCCATGTCATTCTCAAAGAGCTCTGAAAGTGCAGATATCAAACTCACTGTCTTAATTTGGGTTCCTCAAGAAAGCAGGACCTAAGCAAAAATTTAAGTATAGGTAGTTTATTTTGGTGTTAGACCCAGGAATCAGAAGTGAGAGAGTGGGGAGAGTGAGGTTGTTAAGAAAGAAAATGCAATGTTAGGGTGCTCTATCAAAGTAGCTGCTATGGACAACTGGGCTCAATTCCTCCAGCATATTCTGAGAAGTGTACCTACTACCTCCCAGATTTTTCCGTCTGGAGTATAGGACACTGGAGTACTTAATACAGAGGTTACCACTCCACATTGTTTGTTGGTTTCTCTTAAGGTGCATTAAATTTCTCCTTAGCACTGCCATTTGTTGTTAGTACTTGAAAGTTCCTACAATGCTGGATAAAACTCTGAGGCAAAATGCAAAAAGATGCACATTTTTCAGCATTATATAAATTTGAGGCCACTTGGAACTGTCTACTACAACTGATAATGAAATTATATGTGCATTGATAGGATGTGACCAAGGACCCACCCCAGAGGTGTCTGGTTCACTCCTTACACTGTAGATATATCTCCTTATGTACCTGACATGGTTTGGCTGTGTCCCTACCCAAATCTCATCTTGAATTGTTATCCCCATAATCCCCATGTGTCATGGGAGGGACCAGGTGGGAGTTAATTGAATCATGGGGGTTGTTTGCCCCATGCTGTTCTCCTGATAGTGAGTGAGTTCTAATGAGATCTGAGGGTTTTATAAGCATCTGGCATTTCTCCTGTTGGCACTCATTCTCTCTCCTGTCACCCTGTGAAGAAGTTCCTTCTGCTATGATTGTAAGTTTCCTGAGCACTCCCCAGCCAAGCAGAACTGTGAGTCAATTAAACCTCTTTCCTTTGTAAACTACCCAGTCTTGAGTATTTCTTGTGAGAACAGACTAGTATAGTACCACATTAAGTTCAATCAGTTTCTGATACTTCAAGGTAGTAACCAGCTGGAATTTTTATAAGATTTAATACAGGAGTCTTAATGGAACAGACTACAGTTCCTAATGCTGCCACTTTGTCCAAGACCATTAGAGATATTTATCGTCTCTTGTCTCAATTGTTCATTCTAGATTTTCTCCCTTTTTTCAGCCATAATTTTAGCTTGTCTAAACTGCTTACCTGGTGTGATGACCAAGAGCTTAATCTCTGAAAGGTCAGTTAAATTACTCGAAGTTTCTTCTGTGATTACCAACTATCTACTTCTGGATAACAAGGCACTAAAAAGTTTAGTGGCTTAAAACAACATATTATTTATTATTTATTATGGTTTCCTGTGTTGACTAGACTTAGCTGGGTTGTTGCTTGGGATCTCTCCTATGGTTGCAGTCTGTTAGAAATAGATATTGCAGTCATGAGAAGGCTCAAATGACCTGAATGCCTAAGTTCCAGTTCACTGCAGGCTGGTGACTGGAGTATCTACACATTGCCTGTCCATGTCTTAGGCTTCTCATGTATGGCAGTTGAGTTCCAAGAATAAGTTTATAGAGAGACAGGAAGTATAAATGTTATGTTATGGGATCTTTGGGGTGTCAGTTTTTCTGGCTGGAAACCTCTATGGCTAGTGGTGCCTTTGCCTGACTTCTTGTTCTATGTCCAGAAAGAATGAGGTATGCAGACAAGTGAAGGATCAACAAGACAAAGAGGAGCTTCATTAAGTGTTAGAACAGTTCAGAGGAGACCTGCAGAGGGTAGCTCCTCCCTGTTACTACCAATGTCTGCTGCTCTCAGCAGAGTGGAGGCCCTGGAGAGGGTAGCCCCTCTCTGCAGCTGGTAGCTCTGATGCCTCTGCTGGTCTCTGAAGCTCTCAGTTCAGAAGGCAGTTCCTCTCTGCTATCAGCTATCTCTATTCTCTCCACTCTCTGTCCTGCTCTGGCTGAGCCCAGGGCTTTTATTGACCTCAGAGGGGAGGAAGTATGTGCTGACTGCATGGGCAGCCATGGGAGGGCCCAGGAAAAAGCACCATAAGTTCCCCATCTCATCAGCAGGACTGGCATCCTGGCCCCCAGCTTCAGGCCTGTTCTGGCCTGAAGGTGGGGCTTCACTGGGGATTCACCCCCTTCCTCCCAGGAGCCTGTCTGCCTCCCACGTCATCCATGGAGCCCAGGCTGCTGGTACCTGCAGGCCATCACCCAACCACCCCCAACCCCACCTCAATGTCCCCTCCCACACTTCTTGGTGCCTCAAGTCTGCAGGGGGCCAAGGCAGCAGGGGGCTGACATGTCAGTGCTGCCCCAAATGTGGGCACACCTGGCTGGGCTATGACAGTGCCCAAGCTCAGCCCCAATCCTGCTCCAATATTGGAGTTAATGCTGGGAGTTGGGAGAGGCTAGGCAGTGGGAGCAGGCACCTCTAATCCTGCAAGGGCAAGGGGGCCCTTCCCAGGATCCCCAAGAGTGCAGGAATGCCTGGGTCTGCAGCTCTGGTTTGGGAGGCTGCAGCTGGCTGGGGGGCAGGGCTTCTGCCTGCTCTTGTAGTGGGAGGCCCAGATCCACAGTCACAACGTGGGTGGCTGCAGCCCCACCCTCCTGGCAACTCCAGGTCAGGCCTGGACTGACATCCGGGGCAGGCGCCACGTTGCTGTGAGCTGCCCCTGTGGCCTCAGCACGCAACCTGGCCCAACCCCATCATGGCGGCTCCCAGGGTGGTGGGCTGCAGGCAGCGAGGGCTGTCCAACTCCTTCCTGTGCCCTCCCTGAGGTGGCCAGCGTGATGGCAGTGGTTGCGCCAGATGGCCCACTGTTGCCATCAGAAGCTGCCAGTTTCTTAAGGCCAGGACCTGGCATAGTGTGACTTGCATTATATTTTATTAGTTAAAAGCAATTACAGATCCTGCTCAGATTTAAGATGGGCATAAGATTCATTTTCAATGGAAAGATTGAACTTTTCATAAAATAACCTATGTTTGCAACTAAGTAGTTTTCTTAGTGTCCTTCCTGTTTAGATATCTGGAGAGAGCTTTTTCTTTAATTTTGTCCCATTTCTCTCTCTTTCAGTCCAAGCTGATAATCATTCCTTTAACGTTTTCGTGGACTTTCTGTGCATTAAATTATAATCCACTTTTTTAAACCAGTGGTTCTAAAATGTAGATTATTTTGTCCTACAGGCATTTAGATGGCCTGGAAACAATTTTGACTGTCAAGAATTGGGTGAAGAGGCCAGGTGTGGTAGCTCACACCTGTAATCCCAGCACTTTGGGAGGCTGAGGCAGGTGGATCACCTGAGTTCAGGAGTTCAAGACCGAGCCTGGCTAACATGGCAAAACCCCGTCTCTACTAAAAATACAAAAATTATCCTGGCATGGTTGTGGGTACCTGTAATCCCAGCTACTCGGGAGGCTGAGGCAGGAGAATCGCTTGAACCCAGGAGGCACAGGTTACAGTGAGCCAAGATTGCACCATGCTGCACTCCAGCCTGGATGACAGAGCGAGACTCCATCTGAAAAAAAAAAAAAAAAAGAAAAAAGAATTGGGTGAAGAGCGTCCTACTGGCATCTAATGGGTAGAGCCCACAAATATTGCTAAACATTCTACAAGGTACAGAACAACACAAAAGACTCCCTCATCCCAACAAAAAATTATCTGACCCAAAATGTCTATAGTGCCAAGGTTGAAAAGTCCTGCTTTAGATAACAGCCATACCCGTAAGTCTATTTGAGACAGTCCCTTCATTACCTTTGGTTCCCTATGATAATGTCCTCAATATTATTAGAAGACTTAATGTGTCACAGAGAGGGTATACAAGGACCTTTATCTGTTTGAAGTTATCTTTCAGATACCACTTTAGCTCTTTCTTCAGTTTATCAAGGATCTTATACTTCCACACAATTTGATCCTTGTTTTGAAAAGATTTATACTATGACATTCTCTTTCTGGAGAGATTGGAGATTTTAAAAAACGGTCTTATTTTTGGTCCCAGAAAGCTTGACCTTTTATGTTTCATTTAAATTTTGATTTAAAAAATGGAAGTATTTCCCCTTTATTTCATTTATCTCTTCTTATATTTTATCATAGGCAGCTAAAATCAGCCAGATGAAGCTTGAAATTCTGCCTTCAAATCTCCCTAACTATTAACTGGGTACTCCCTAACTATTTACTGGGTACTCCCTAACTATTTACTGTTACTGGGTACTCTTTCTATTTTTCTTATTGCCAAAGGTGACAGTGTTGCCAGATTTTCTGCCACTACATAAAAAGTGCCTCTTTTCACTATGTTATGGACTGTTATGGACTGAATGTATGTATCCTCCACAAATTCATATGTAAAAGCCTTAACCTCCAATGTGACTATCTTTGGAGGTGGGGCCTTTGAGAAGTAATAACATTTAGATGAGCTGATGGGGGTGGAGCCATCATGATGAGATTAGTTCCCTTATAAGAAGAGGAAGAAAGACGGATTTCTCTACAAGTACACACATTGAGGAAAGGCCATGTGAGCGATACCAACAAAGTTGGTCCCCCTTAAAATGGGGTCTTTCCCTGTCCAGTGCTACGAAGTCAATATGCAAAACCAAAAGTGAGCGTCTAGAAGTGCAGGTATAGGGCATATTTAATGAAAGGGTTGGGCATTAAAAACGAGGAGAGGAATATTCATGTATTTTCTGGGAGTGGGTAGAGAACTTCTTGGAACGGGAGTTGCCACCTTCCTTTTTGTCATTTTATGGTTTATTCTGGTCATTGTCATAGTGATTGTCAATGGTCATGGTGCTTGTGGGAGTGTCACTGAGCATGGAAATTAGATTATAATGAAGTTAGAAGCTCTTCAGAGGTCAGGTGACCTGCCATTTTAGATCCCACCAGTCTTAGCTGGTTTAATCACAAGGGGAAACTTCTGACTTTAGTCCTGTTTCCTAAAGATAAGCAGAGTTAAGGTGGATAGAAATTGACCTAGGTCTTGAAGGCATTACACTAGGTACCATAAGGACACAGGGAGAAGGTGGTCATTTGCAATCCAGAAAGAGGGCCCTCATCAAGAATCAAATCTGCTGGCACCTTGATCTCAGGCTTCCAACCTTCAGAACTGTGAGAAGTGTCTGTGGCTAAGCACCTAATCTTTGGTATTTTGATATAACAGTCTGGGCTGAGCAGGACAGCCTCTAATAATATCCTCACTGTCTTCAAGCCCTCTCCAACAGCCTCCTTGAGGTCTTCCAGGTTTCACTATCAGTCTCCTGCAAACTCTTCCAGCATCTGCCCATTGCTTAAACCCAAAGCCAATTGTCATTAATTTTTAGATTTTGTTTTTTCTAGGAGTAAAATTTACTTTGCTCTTGTTAGGCTGTCATAGCTGTAATTATTCCTTCATCATTGTCACCAGGCATGTGAGCACCAACATTTTAGTTTATGTTTCCCTAAACTAATGCCTGAGAAAAAGACTTAAGTGAAGTTCATCTGTTTGAAATAATATTCTAAGAAACAGGGTTAAGGGAAGGGAGTAGTGAAACAAGGAAGGAGGAAAGGTAATGAGGTCACTGCTTGGAGCTTTAGTCTGCTAGGATTTTTGAAGCACATATAATGCCACCCAGAATTATCCCCTGGAAAGACAGTATGCACTTGAGTTGAGAAGCTGTATCTGTGAGGTGTCCCTTTATGTGAAATGTGCTTTTCAGATGTTCTGAAATTAGATCTGCAGCAAGGGGCTGTGGCACAGAGGAGCATTGAAAATATCTTCTACACCAAAACTCATTATTTATAGGCTATTTTTTTTTCTGGAAGCTCTTAATATTTTATCTTCATTCTAGATATTTTAGATTACATTATTACGTGTCTAGGTGTAGGTCTTTTTAATTTCATTCTGCTTGGCACTTAGTGACCCTTTAAATATAAAGTCTCATAGCTGTTTTTAACTCTAGGAATTTAGAACTCATACATAATTTCTGCTTCTCCATTTTCTTTGTTCTTTCTTTGGAACCTCCTATTTATTAGGAATCAAAATCTGCTATATTCTATTTCTTTGTCTTTTTGCTATGTACTCTAGGACATTTCTTTATCAGGAAACCTTTCTGCTGAGTTTTCAATTTCAGAAATCATATTTTGAATTTCAAAAACTCATTTTAGATATTTGTTTTTCGTGGCATTCTATTCTTTTGCATGGATATATTATCTTGTCAAGTGGAACAGAAGAGAACTGAAGATATACATCTTTTATTTCTTAAAAATCTTCACACAAAGACAAGTTTCAAGGGGAATAAGCCAAATAATTGATCCTGGAGAAAGCAAAAATAACAAGGAAAGACCTTGTTATTTATGTTTTATTATGTATTATTATTATTTATTATTTATGTATTATGTTTTATTTCCTTATTAATTGAGTTTTCTCTAGGATCAGTTATTTGTCTTATTCTTCTTGATACTTTTTATTACACAATGATTTTCCCAAATGTCTCATGATAATTGGATTTCCATTCATCTTTATGAATAAAAAAGTGTTGATTCACTTAAATTGCAGGGATAAGTGTCACTGCTGCTATTTAGATATGTTTGTATATCAAACTAACAAGCATTTCTTTTTTTATCTAAGAGGGAAGTATATGTGTGTGTTGTGTATTGTTTGTGTTTGTGTGTGATGTTACTGGTAATCAGCAGGTTTCATTTGAATGTATATAGATGGTACATAGATGAGAAGCACGCAGACAGTCTGCCCATGGGATACCCTGGAGAAAATCAAGGTAACTTTAGATGGAAAATCTAGCACTTGGAACATTTGCTATTCCCAAGCAGTTGATTCAATTTCTTTAGGAAACAGTTCTTTGGTTTATGCTCAGGGAACATGCAAGACCTGTCAGACATCATTCACATGGCAATGGGAGTCTGTTGGGAGGAGCCAAGATACCGTGATGTGGACAGTTTTAAAATAATTTCCTTTGATTGCTTCTCTTTAGTTATTGCTTACTCTCTGGGCCTGCTAGTTCTTAGCATCGGCCTCCTCTAGATTCTCTAGAAAGAGCAGTTTCCACCAATGCTGACGTCTGTTCCTATTCAGCTTCTGACCTATGTCTTCATCTGCCTGCATAGTTTATGTGCCTTTATAACTCCTTCTACTTTTAGCTATGAAAGAGCCATCAGAATATTTGGTCCAGGGATGGGCTCTCTGCTCCAAAACGTACTTTGGTTATAAATTTATCTCATATTATATGTCTTTACCCTAAGTTAAATAAAACTGAGAGACATTGAAGAGGTAACTACATCTTTTCAGTCTGCCATTTTAAACTGGCAGCAACAAATATTTTCTTAATTTATTTAATAAAGTTTTATGTCTTCTTAACAATGTAAAAGTTAAGTAAAAAGTATTTTATATTTTTTAAAAACACAAAGATTTTCTTTTATATAGAACTTAACTTTTAATAGACTTTTAAAAACTTTTATTTAGGCTCAGAGGTACATGTGAAGACTTGTTACATAAGCTACAAAAGTGAGTTTGATATCCTGAAAACATATAGCTAAGACCCAGACTGGGATTAGATACCTCACTGTGCTTAGCCCTAAACCCAGATAGTTAAATTAACAAAACTACTCGCCAGAGTACTACAAACAACAGCTTAAAACTCAAAGGACTTGGCAGTGCTTTATATCCCTCTAGAGGAGCCTGTTGTATAATCGGTAAACTCCGATATACCTCGCCATCTCTCGCCACTCAGCCTATATACCACCATCTTCAGCAAACCCTAAAAAGGCCTTAGAGTAAGCACAAGTATGTACATAAAAACATTAGGTCAAGGTGTTGCCTATGAAATGGTAAGAAATGAGCTACATTTTCTATTTCCCGAAAATTTTACAATAACCATAATGAAACCTAAAGATTCAAAGAGGATTTAGCGGTAAATGAAGAACAGAGTGCTTCATTGAATGAGGCCGTGAAGCATGCACACACCACCCATCGCCCTCTCAAATACTTGTCTAGAGACCACTATTACCAATAATTTTCCTACATATGTATAGAGGAGATAAGTTGTAACATGGTAAGCGTACTGGAAAGTGCTCTTGGACTAACCAAAGTGTAGCTTAACTTAAAGCACCCGGCTTACACCCGGAAGATTTCATATCACCTGACCACTTTGAGGCAACTCTAGCCCCAACTTTATTAAACTGTATTACCAGATCTCCTTAAACCAAATCACTTACCCGGGACAAAAGTACAGGTGATAGTAGTTACTCTGGTGCAAAAGCTATAGTACCACAAGGGAAAGATGAAATAATCACACCAAGCATCAAAAAGCAAAGACAAACGCTTGCACCTTTGCATAATGAATTAACCAGAACAGACTTCACAGAGAGAACGCTAGCCAGGATCCCCAAAACCAGACGAGCTACTCAAGAATAGCTAAATGAGCACACTAATCTATGTAGCAAAATAGTGAGAGGATTCATGAGTAGTGGTGATAAACCTGTCGAGGCTGGGGATAGCTGGTTGTCCAAGACAGAATTTTAGTTCAACTTACTTCAGGGACCCAAAGTGAAAAGGAGACATTTCTAGTTTTATTATTAAGATCATTATTATTATCAAGGTTGATAGTTGATTGATTGAGTTTATGATGGTTCATTGTCCAGAGAATAGCATATTGGAAATGATTCCTATTATGAGAATTATAGATGCAGTTGCTTGTGTGAGGAAATATTTGGTAGCTTCTTCTGTGGAGTGGATTTTCTTTTTAAGTTAAAATTGGGATAGTGGCTAGTATGTTTATTTCTAGGCCTATTCAGATGAGACGTCAGTGTGAGCTTAATATTGTAATGAGATTTCCCGTAAAGATAGTGAAAGAGATAATAAGTTGGGTTAGAGGGTTAATTAGTACTGAAAGGATAAAAAGCAACATTTTCGGGGTAGGGGCCCAATAGCTTGTTTAGCTGACCTTAGTATAGGATGTGGTGTATTAGGTAGCACAGAGAATTTTGGATTCTCAGGGGTAGGTTCGATTCCTATAATTCTACAAATAAGAGGACTTAAACCTCTATAATTTAGTCTATCAAAGTAACTCTTTTGTCCGACATATTTCTTATGTTCGAGGTGGGGTACTAGATATTAGGACAGGCATAGAGATGTGTCATCTGCAAAGCACTAGTGTGAATGCTAAGACATTTTTTCATAGAAGATGTACAAGTTGATCGTAACAGAATCAAGGGTATGACTCTTGAAGTCATAAAAATAAGGTTGTTAAAAGGAGGGTTTTGGTGATGAAAATTATAGTATAGAGTTCTGGTGTATGAATATCATATAATGCTCCTAGGAAGATAATAGTGCTTAGGGCATTTATTATAATAATATTTATATATGCCACATAAAGAATAGGGCAAATGGACCTGCAGCATATTCCACATTAAAGCCTGGAACGAATTCTGATTCCCCTTCTGTCAAGTCAGATGGGACTCTGTTAGTTTCTGCTAGCATGGAAATAAATCATATGGTTAGAGGTCACGATGGTAGGAGTAGTCAGAATAAACTCTTGGGATGAGTATAGATAAATTGAATGAACCACTTATTAACAGAACTGATAGGAGGATAATAGCTAGGGTAACTTCATATGAAATTGTTTGGGCTGCTGCTCATAGTGTACCAATTAGTGCATATTTCGAATTGGATGCTCATCTTGGTCATAAGATAGAGTAGACAGCTAGGCTTGATGTGGCTAGTATAAATAAGAGACCTATGTTAAGATTAGTTAGAGGATATGGTATGGGGAAAGGGATTCATATAAGGAGGGGATTAGATAAGGCTAGGGTTGGAGTAATAACGTATAGGGGAATAGTGGATGCTAAAAGTCACAGCGTTCTTTAATACAAAGTTTTATTGCATCTGCAAAGGGCTGAAGTAGTCCCTACAGTGTGGGGTCTTTTGCGTATTTGTACATAGCCTAAGATCTTTCGTTCAATGAGCATAAGGAATGCTATGGCAATGGCCCTAAGTCTCCTAATTCGAGCAGAACTGGGTCAAACAGGAACTCTACCAGGACATTATCAGATTTATAATGTTATCGTCACTGCTGACACATTTGTTATAATTTTCTTCATATTAATACCAATCATAAATGAGGGCTTTGGCAACTGGTTAGTTCCCCTGAGAATCGGTGCACCAAACATGGCATTCCCTCGAATAAATAATATAATATATCTTAGGTGCTTTACTATTAGAATTGTTGTTAGAATTGTTGGTGGTTGGGTGAATAGTTGAATATGATGAGGTGGAAATTGTAATTGATTTTAATAATATAGAAAATTGGGTAATTTTTGAGGGTGAGGAAGTAGGGTTATTACGTGAGGATTCTATAGGTGTAGCTCCCTTGTATAGTTATGGATATTGATCGGTGGTAGTTGCTGGTTGATCTCTGTTTGTTAGTATGTATGTTGCAATTGAGATTACTCTGGGGAATAGATTAAATAATTAAGAATAGAGTTAGGAGAGATGGAATAAGGAGGGAGAAAAAATAGAGTTTAATTAGGCCTTTCGGGGTAGATTCAATGGTGGAGGCTAAAATTTGGACTTGAGCAGTGTTTTTGGCATTGATTTTTCTAATCAAATTAAGTCTAGTAGAATGGAGGCTAGATTTTGACTTGCATGTAGATTTGAGTGTGGGGGGCAGTTGCACAATGTATTGTGATTGGATAAAACCCTAATATGTTTGAGAAATTAAATGTTTGTGATGGATGCTTAAGTTTAAGGTTTTTAGTCATGAGGTTAAGTTCTGTTACTAGTGAAATGCCTAAAATACTTACACCAAGGGCTGCAAGTTTTAGGTGGAGTGGCATAGTTATTTGGGGAATTGATATTAGAGTAATGTTGCTGGAGATGAAGAATCTGGCGAAAATGCTACCAATTGTCAGGTGTTAGATTGCATTAATTAGGAGGGGATTGTTTTTGTTGATGATAATTGAAGTTGTGAAGTGAAGTTGTCCTAACAGTGTGAAAAAAATTATTTGGGTGCTGTAGACAGCTATTAGGGAGGTGTCAATGAGAGTAATTAAAAGGACTCATGCGTTGGTACACGACGTTTGCAGTTTTGATAATGAGATCTTTGGAGTAGAAACCTATGAGGAAAGGTATTCCTGTGAGTGCAAGGCTGCCAATAATAAGTGAGGAAGAAAAAAAAATAAGTGAGGAAGAGGTGAAGGGTAGGGCCTTAAATAACCCACCTGTTTTTCGGATATCCTGTTCATCACTGAAGTTAATGGATAACAGATCCAGAGCATATGAACAATTTGGCTTTGAAGAAAGCATGGGTACAAATGTTAAGAAATGCTTAGTGAGGTTGATTAATACCAAATGTGAATGTTATAAAGCCTAATTGACTTGAGGTGGATAATGCTACAATTTTTTAAACATCATTTTGTGTCAGGGCACAGATGGCTATAAATAGTGTAGTGATAGCTCCTAGGCATAATCTGAGGGTTTGAATGATTAAGTTGTTTCTGTTAAAGGGTGAAATTGGATAAGTAGGAAAACCCCTGCTACAACTATTGTGCTAGAATGGAGCAGAACTGTGACTGGTGTTGGGCCTTCTATAGCTGATGGAAGTCAAGGATGGAGGCCAAATTGGGCTGATTTTCCAGCCCCTGCCAGAAGACCAATTATTGGAAAGATACTGGGGTTGGGATTTAAAATAAACATTTGTTGAAATTCTCATGTGTTGGAGAATAGGAGGACTCATGCTATTGCTAAACCAAAGCCAGTGTCACCGATGCGGTTATATAGGATTGCCCGAAAGGCTGCTATAGTAGCATCTGTTCGGCCATATCATCAGCTGATTAATAGGAAAGATATAAACCATACGGCTTCTCACCCGATAAAAAGTTGGAAAAGGTTTTTGGCAGTAACCAGAATTAATATGGTAATGAGAAAAATGAGTAAGTACTTGAAAAATTGGTTCACGTTGGGATCTGAGTGTATCTACCGCATTTAAAATTCTCTGATGGATCATGTAATGAATAGTGCCACTGGAATGGATATTATAGAGAAGTAGTCCAGTTTGAAGTTGAGTGAGAGTTTTAGGGTTTGGATTGTTATCCAGTGCCAGTTAGAGAAGACAGCTTTTTGGCCTGTGTATATAAATATGGTTGCAAGGATGAGGCTAATGATAAAGGCACATGGGCTTAGTCAAACTTCCGTTTATCACTTAATTTTTATCACTGCTGTTTCCAGTGGGGGTGTGTTTGACCTAGGTGTTGTGAGCTGCACTTATGCATACTTGATACCTGCTCCTTTTGATTTGGATAATCTAGAGGGCATTCTCACTGGGGCGGGGATGCTTGCATGTATAATCTTACTAAGAACTAACAAAAAGGCCAGGACCAAACCTATGTGTTTATGGAGTTACGTGAAATCTTCTGAGCATTTTCAGTGCCTTTCTTTAGTAGTTAAGCTACATTAACTAGGCGAAGTACACTGGAGCTCAGGGAGGGGGTCTGAAGTGTTTGGTAAGTATTAAGTCAAAACCTTGTCAGGATGTAAATGGAAAGTGAGCATTTTAGCCCAGAAAGTCTAGTTTTTGATTTTTTTAATTGACCATTTCTAAAATTGCACTAATTGAAGGTTTAGCTAAAAAGCCATTTGTAGTTGAAGCTATAATTAGTTTAAAATTATAGCATCTAGAGTATACTCTCTTTAAAGTGGGTAGGGGTCTGAAGTGTTATGTAGGTATCAGGGCAAAACCTTGTCAGGATATAAATAGTAATCATTTTAGCCCAGAAAATACTGGGATTTTTATATTATATTTCCCACCCCTAATTGTTCAGTCAATGACTGACTGACCTCTATTCAACAGTGATTAATCCAACTTGTATTGAAACAAATAGTATCAATGCATAATATCAAAGGACAAACCTGATCCCTTATGTTAATTTCCCTGATTCTCTTTATTGGTTCAACTAATCTTCTTGGACTTCTATCCCATTCATTTACACCAACTACTCAACTATCAATAAACTTAGAAATAGCAATTCCTTTGTGAGCTGGAGTAGTAGTCACTGCTTCCGCTTTAAGACTAAAGCTTCTGTAGCCTACTTCCTACCACAAGCACACTGATTCCACTTATCCCTATATTGGTAATCATTGAAACTTAGCCTATTCATCCAACCAATAGCACTAGCTGTACGATTAACAGCCAACAATACAGCTGGCCACCTACTAATGCATTTAATTGGAGGAGCTACACTAGTATTATCAACTATTAGCCTACCGACAGCTTCAATTACATTTATTATTCTAGTTTTACTAACCATCCTCAAGTTTGCCATAGCCCTCATTCATACCTATGTCTTTACACTCCTAGTGAGCCTCTACTTACACAGCAACACATAATGACCCTCCAAACTCAGGCTTACCACATAGTTAACCCTAGCCCCCTGACCACTAACAGGAGTCCTTTCAGCACTACTTATAACTTCTGGCCTAGCCATATGATTTCATTTTAACTCAACTGCCTTCCTGACTTTGGGCTACTAACCAATACATTAACAATATATCAATGATGATGCGATATTATCCGAGAAGGCCCATTCCAAGGCCACCATACATCAACTGTTCAAAAAGGCCTTTCATACAGAAAAATCTTACTCATTATTTCAGAGGTGTTCTTTTTCCGCCAGCTTCTTCTGAGCATTCTATCACTCTAGCCCAGCCCCCACTCCAGAATTAGGAGGATGCTGGCCTCCAACAAGCATCTCTCCCCCTAGCCTCTTAGAAGTCCCTTTTCTTAATACATCTGTTTTACTTGCATCCGGGGTTTCAATTACTTGGGCTCACCAAAGCTTGATAGAAGGTAATCAAAAATACATACTTCAGGCACTGTGTATCACAATTGCCCTAGGCATTTACTTTACACCTCTACAAGCCTCAGAATATTTTGAAGTCCCTTTCACTATCTCTGCTGGAGTTTACAGCTCAACATTCTTCATAGCCACAGGTTTTCACGGGCTTCACGTTATTATTGGATCAACATTTCTTACTGTCTGCCTACTCCGCCAACTAAAATTTCAGTATACATCTAACTGCCATTGTGGATTTGAAGCCTCAGTCTGATACTGGCACTTTGTAGATGTAATATGACTATTCCTATATGTTTCTATCTATTAACAAGGATCATACTCTTAGTATAACAGTACAATTGACTTCCAATCAATTAGCTTCAGCATTACCTGAAAAAGAGTTATTAATCTAACATTAGCCTTAGCAACTGACACCTTACTAACACTCTTACTAGTAACAATTGCATTTTGACTCCAACAACTTAATATCTACACAGAAAAATCCAGCCCCTATGAATGCGGCTTTGACCTGATAGGCTCTGCCTGCCTCTCCTTTTCCATAAAGTGCTTCCTAGTAGCCATCACATTTCTCCTCTTTGATCTAGAAATCACCCTACTACTACTCCCACCATGAGCTTTTCAGACAACTGACCTAAAATTAATAATTAGTACAGCTCTCATATTAATTATCATTTTAATCTTCAGTCTAGCCTACAAATGAACCCAAAAAGGATTAGAATGAATTGAGTTGGTGAATAGTTTAAGTCAAAATAAATGATTTCGATTCTTTAGATTATGATATATCATAATTACCAAATGCCTTCTATTTATATTAATATTATATTAGCTTTTATTATGTCTTTAGTCGGGGTAATAGTCTATCAATCCCACCTGATATTGTCCCTACTATGCCTAGAAGGCATAATACTTTCTTTCTACCTGTCTATCTATGTATCTATGTACCTATCTATCATCTATCTATCATGTATCTATTTATCTATCTATCTATCTATCTATCTATCTATCTATCTATCTATCATCTAGCATCTATCTATCTATCTATCTTTTGAGATGGAGTGCAGTGGCCCGATCTCAGCTCACTGCAACCTCCGCCTCCCGGGTTCAAGTAATTCTCCTGACTCAGCCTCCTGAGTAGCTGGGATTACAGGCGCACACCACCATGCCTGGCAAGTTTTTGTATTTTCAATAGGGATGGGGTTTCATCATGTTGGCCAGGCTGGTCTCGAACTCCTGACCTCAAGTGATTTACCTGCCTTGGCCTCCCAAAGTGCTGGGATTGCAGCATGAGCCATGGCGCCCAGCCAATACTATCAATATTTATTATAAGTACTCTCGTAATTTTAAATATACATTTCATGCTGGCATCCATAATACCTATTATCCTCTTAGTTTTTGCAGCCTGCGAAGCTGCTGTAGGTTTAGCCTTACTAGTTACAGTCTCCAACACCTTTGGCCTAGATTATGTACAAACCTAAATTTACTCCAATGCTAAAAATTATTATCCCAACAATTATATTACTCCCAATAATGTGATGCTCTAAGAACTCTACAATCTGAATTAATACAGCTTCCACAGTTTACTTATCTGTCTCATCAGCCTGCTATTCTTCAACCAATTTAATGATAACTCTTCAACTTCTCATTAACTTTTTTTTGTTCTGATCCACTGTCATCACCCCTTCTAATCCTAACAGCCTGGCTACTATCCCTTATAATTTTAGCAAGCCAATATAATCTATCCAAAGAATCGTTCCCAGGAAAAAAAATTTTATATATCAGTACTAGCAGGGATACAGATATTTTTAATTATAACATTCACGGCCACAGAACTAATCATATTTTGTATTATCTGTGAAGCCACACTAGCTCCCACCCTAATTATTATTACTGGTTGAGGTAATCAAGCAGAATGCCTGAAAGCAGGCTTGTACTTCTTATCTTATACACTGGTAGGATCCTTACCTTTACTTGTAGCACTTATCTATACACAAAATGCCTCAGGCTCACTAAATATGTTAATCACCATATATACTACTCAAGAAATAACAACTCTGGATCTAACAACCTTCTATGACTAGCATGCATCGTGGCATTTATGGTAAAAATGCCTCTCTACAGACTCCACCTATGACTTGCTAAAGCCCACATAGAAGCCCCCATTGCCGGCTCAATGGTACTTGCAGCCGTATTCCTAAAATTAGGCAGCTACGGAATGATACAGGTCACTCTAATCCTTAACCCCTTGACAGAATTCACAGCCTACCCTTCCTTATAATATCCCTATGAGAATAATTATGACAAGCTCCATTTATCTACGCCAAACTGATCTAAAATCGCTCATTGCTTACTCCCCTGTAAACTACATGGCGCTTGTTATTGTGGCTGTTCTCATTCAAACCCCTGAAGCTTTATAGGTGCAACCACCCCTATAATTGCCCACGGACTAACTTTGTCCCTACTATTCCGCCTAGCAAACTTGAACTATGAATGAGTTCAGAGCCAAACTATACTACTTACTCAAGGCCTTCAGACACTACTCCCACTAATGGCCATGTGATGACTTTTAGCTAGCCTCACCAACCTTGCCCTACCCCCTACCATTAATTTAGTAGCGGAACTCTTCATATCCATAGCCTTATTCTCTTGATCCAATCTCACCATCATTCTTATGGGACTTAACATGTTAATCACAGCCCTCTACTTTCTGTACATACTAATCACCACACAATGAGGGGTCTTCACGTATCACATCAACAATATTAAACCCTCTTTCATTGTGAGAAAAATACCCTAATATTAATACACCTAGCACTGCTTCTCCTATTATCCTTAAACCCCCAAATCATTTGGGGATGTACATACTGTAGTTATAGTTTAATTAAACATTAGATTGTGGATCTAATAATAGAAGTCTACAGCTTCTTACCTACCAAGAAAGTATGCAAGAACTGCTAACTCATGCCCCCATATTTAACAATATGGCTTTCTCAACTTTTAAAGGATAGGAGTTATCTATTGATCTTAGGAACCAAAAACATTGGTTCAACTCCAAGTAAAGGTAATAAAATATATTCTCCTCCCTTACTTTAACCTCCCTAGTACCACTCTTGTCATAGAGGTTTGTTGTACAGATTATTACATCACCCAGGTATTCAGCCCAGTACCCAACAGTTATCTTTTCTGCTTTTCTCCCTTATCCTACCCTCCTCCCTCAAGTAGACTCCAGTGTCTGTTGTTTCTTTCTTTTTCTTCATGAGTTCTCATCATTTAGATCCCAGTTATAAGTGAGAACATTCAGTATTTGATTTACTGTTTCTGGATTAGTTTGCTAAGGATAATAGCCTTCAGCTCCATCCATGTTTCTGCAAAAGACATGATCTCATTCTTTTTTATGGCTGCATAGTATTCCACAGTGTATATGTACCACACGTTTTAATTTAATCTGTCGTTGATGGCCATTTAGGTTGATTCCATATCTTTGCTTTGTGAATAGTGCTGCAATGAACATTTGCGTGCATGTGTCTTTATGGTAGAATGATTTATATTCCTCTGGATATATACTCAGTAATGGTATTGTTGAGTCAAATGGTAATTCTGCTTTTGGCTCTTTGAGGAATTGCCATACTGCTTTCCACAATGGTTGAACTAATTTACACTCCCACCAACAGTGTATAAGTGTTCCCTTTTCTACCCAATCTCACCAGCATCTGTTATTTTTTGATCTTTTAGTAGTTACCATCCTGACTGTTGTGAGATGGTATCTCATTGAGGTTTTGATGTGCATTTCTCTAATGGTCAGTGATATTGAGCTTTTCTTCATATGCTTGTTTGCATCTATGTCTTCTTCTGAAAACTGTCTTCATGTCCTTTGCCCACTTTTTAGTGGCGTTGTCTGTTTTTCTCTTGTAAACTTAAGTTTCTTATAGATGCTGGATATTAGAGTTTTGTCAGATGCATAGTTTGCAAAATTTTTCCCCCATTCTGTAGGTTTTCTGTTTACTCTGTTGTTAGTTTCTTTTGCTGTGCAGAAGCTCTTAAGTTTAATTAGATCCCATTTATCAATTTTTGCTTTGGTTGTGCTTGCTTTGGTATCTTTGTCATGAAATCTTTGCTTGTTCCTATGTCCCGCATGGTATTCTCTAGGTTGTCTTCCAGGATTTTTATGGTTTTTGGGTTTTACATTTAAGTATTTAATCCATCTGGAGTTGATTTTTGTATATGGTATAAGGAAGGGGTCCAGTTCCAATCTTCTGTATATGGTTGGCCAATTATTCAAGCACCATTTATTGAATAGAAAGTCTTTTTTCCCATTGCTTATTTTTGTCAGGATTGTTGAAGATCAGATGGTCATAGGTGTGTGGCATTATTTCTGGGCTCTCTTCTGTTCCATTGGTTTACATGTCTGTTTTTGTACCAATATCATGCTGTTTTGGTTACCGTAGCCCTGTACCATACTTTGAAGCTGGGTAATGTGATGCCTTCAGCTTTGTTCTTTTTGCTTAGGATTGCCTTGGCTATTTACTCTTGTTTTTGTTTCTATGTAAATTAAAATTCTTTTTTTTCTAGTTCTGTGAAGAGTGTTGTTGATAGTTTGATACAAAGAGCATTGAATTTATAAATTGCTTTGGGCAGTATGGCCATTTTAACAATATTGATTGTTCCTGTCCATGAGCATGAAATGTTTTTCTATTTGTGTCATTTCTGATTTCTTTCAGCAATGTTTTTTAATTCTTATTGTAGAGATATTTTGCCTCCCTGGTTTGCTGTATTCCTAGGCATATTAGTTTATTCTCACATTGCTGATAAAGACATACCCAAGACAGGGTAATTTATAAAGAAAAAGAGGTATAATAGACTCACAATTGCATGTGGCTGGGGACGACTCACAGTCATGGTGGAAGGCAAGGAGGAGCAAGTCACATCTTACTCCTCTTTATAAACCTTTAAGATCTTGTCAGACTTACTGTCATGAGAACAGCATGGGAAAGACCCACCCCCATGATTCAATTACCTCCCACTGTGCCCCTCCCATGACACGTGAAAATTGTGGGAGCTACAATTCAAGATGAGATTTGGGTGGCGACACAGCCAAACCATATCACTAGGTATTTTATTCTGTTTGTGACTATTGTGAATGAGATTACATTCTTAATTTGGCTGTCAGCTTGGACACTATTGGTGTATAGAAATGCTATCAATTTTTGTACGTTGATTTTGTAACCTGAAACTTTGCTGAAGTTGTTTATCAGATCAAGGAGTCTTTGGGCAGAGACTATGGGGTTTTCTAGTTATAAAATTATATCATCTGCAAACAAAGATAGTTTGACTTCCTTTCTTCCTATTAGGATGCCTTTGATTTCCTTCTCTTGCCTGATAGCTCTGGTGAGGTTTTCCAGCACTAGGTTGACTAGGAATAGTGACAGTGGTTATTCTTGTCTTGCTCCAATTCTCAAGAGGAATGGTTTGAGCTGTTTCCCATTCAGTATGATTTTGACTATGGGTTTGTCATAGGTGGCTTTTATTATTTTCAGGTATGTTCCTTTGATGCCTAATTTGTTGAGGGTTTTTAATACTAAGGAATGTTTAATTTTATCAAAAGACTTTTCTGTGTCCATTGAGATGATCATATGGTTTTTGTTTTAGTTCTCTTTATGTGATGAATAACATTATTAATTTGCATATGTTGAACCAACCTAGGATCCCAGAAATAAAACCTACTTGAATTTGGTGGATTAGCTTTTAGATGTGCTGATGGATTCACTTCGGTAGTATTTGTTGAGAATTCTTGTGTCTATGTTCATCAGGGATACTGGCCTGAAGTTTTCTTTTTTGTGTGTGTCTCTGCCAGGTTTTGGTATCAGAATGACATTGGTCTCACAGAATGAGTTAGAGAGGAGTCCCTCCTTGATGTTTTGGAATAGTTTCAGTAGAATTGATACCAGCTCTTCTATATATGTTGGTAGAATTCAGCTGTGCATCTGTCTGGTCCAGGGCTTTTTCTAGCTGGTAAGTTTCTTATTACTGATGCAATCTCAGAACTTGTTGGTATGTTCAGGGTTTCAATTTCTTCCTGGTTCAGTTGTGGGAGGTTGTATGTCTCCAGGAATTTACCCATTTCCTCTAAATTTTCTAGTTTGTGTGCATAGAAGTGTTTATAATATTCTCTGAGGGTTTTTTGTATTTCTGTGGGGTTGGTGGTAATGCCCCCTTTGTCATTTCTGATTGTGTTTATTTGGACCTTCTCTCTTTTTTCTTTATTAGCCTAGCTAGCAGCTGATCAATCTTATTTATGCTTTCAAAGATCCAATTTTTGGTGTTGTTGATTTTTTGTATGTTTTTTCTCATCTCCTTTTTATTCAGTTTAGTCCTGACTTTGGTTACTTCTTTTCCTTGCTAGCTTAGAAGTTGCTTCGCTCTTGTTTTCTAGTTCCACTAGTATGATGTTAGTTTGTTAACTTTAGATCTTTCTAACTTTTTGATGTGGGTGTTTAGTAAAAATTTTTAGTATCAACTTTCCTCTTAACACTGCTTTAGCTGCATCCCAGAGATTCTGGTATGTTGTATCTTTGTTCTCATTAGTTTCAAATAATTTCTTGATTTCTGCTTTAATTTTATTTTTTATCCCAAAGTCATTCAAGAACAGATTGTTTAATTTCCAAACTGGAGGCCCTGCCTGGTGAAGAGCAGGGACTCGGGGTCTCACAGGAAAAGAGGGACTGGACTCTTCACTAAATGGTGGCTGTGGCATGCTAGAGTTACCAGCAAAGCAATCAGGGCCTTTGTTTTTTTCCCCAGGCCAAGGGCAGCAAAGGTGGGACCACTGCAGTGGCAATGAAAGAAAGCCTGTGGGTCATCTCTGGGACTTTCTCCCGAGAGAAAAGCAGAGCTGCCACTGACTGAAGTTATCAGGCTGAGCTGCACCATTTTGCATTCCCACCAGGAATGAATGATCGTTCCTTTTGCTCTACATCCTTGTCAGCTTTTGGTGGTGTCAGCATTTGAATTTTGGCCATTCTAATAGATGTGTAGTAGTATCTCACTGTTATTTTAATTTGCATCCCCCGATGACATATGATATAGAGTATATCTTTATTTGCTTATTTTCCATGTTCTTTGGTGAGGCAAAATGCTAAGTTTTTGGCTCATTTTTAAGCTGGGGTATTTTCTTATTGTTGAATTTTAAGTGTTTTTGTATACTTTGAATAGCATTCGTTTATCAGATATCTCTTTTGTAAATATTGTATCCCAGTCTGTGGCTTGACTTCTCATTCTTACAATATTGTACTTTGCATTCTTACAATATTGTACTTTGCAGAAACTTTTAATTTTAATGAAGTCTAGCTTACCAATTATTTCTTTCATGGATTGTCTCTTTGGTGCTGTATCTAAAAAGTCTTTGCCATAACTAAGGTCATACAGATTTTCTCCCCCAGGCTGGAGTGTAGTGGCGCAATCTCTGCTCGCTGCAAGCTCCGCCTCCCAGGTTCACGCCATTCTCCTGCCTCAGCCTCCTGAGTAGCTGGGACTACAGGCGCCAGCTGTGTAGCCACTGTGCCCAGCTAATTTTTTGTATTTTTAGCAGAGACGGGGTTTCACCGTGTTAGCCAGGATGGTCTCGATCTCCTGACCTCGTGATCTGCCTGCCTCGGCCTCCCAAAGTGCTGGGATTACAGGTGTGAGCCACCGTGCCAGGCCTATGATCCACTTTTGAGTTAAATTTTGTTAAGGGTATAAGGTCTGTGTTTAGCCACTTTTCTTTTTTTTTTTTTTTTTTTTTTGGTGTCTAAGCACTTTTTTGTCCAGTGGTTCTAACACCATTTTTTGAAAGGAATGTATTTGCTCCATTGCATTGCCTTGGGCTCTTTCAAAGATCAGTTGACTATATTTATGTAATTCAATTTCTGGGTTCTCTATTTTGTTCCATCGAGATCTTGATTGATTTTTTTCCCTTTATTAATTAGTAGAGGATGGCAGCCAACACAATAGCCATACACTACACAAGGCAACATCTTCCTCAGGGGTTATTCTTCTTTTAAAGGAAGTAGTGCAGCCTTCCTGTTGGTTGCCTTCTCAATTACACTTTACTAGGTTCTGCCCTTTCTACAGTCTTTCTACTTAGTTAACGTAGTTCTCCTAGGCCACAATGCTTTTACCACATACAACATCTGTTTAACAGTGGTTATTTATTCAAGAGCTGTTATCTCTTTGACATAAGCTGGAAGGTAGGAGGCATTGGTGACTTTTCTCTGGGTATTTAGTATTAGATATGTCCTTGGTGGCCATATTTTCCACAGTGTTTACAAATTAGACAAATCAGGGTTTCTGGGTGGCTAGGAAGGTGAGAGTTGATGAATGTGAGAGAGAAATAAAACAAACTGGCAGAAGGAAGGAGAGGTTAAAGAAATCCTGTTCATTTCAAAGGCTTGTCTGATTCTCTGGCCGTGTATTCTATGAAACATCCTTGAATCCTGGGTTTCTTAAGTTGGCTGGAGTGGGCTGCTGTAATTTGAGGTTAAGAAAAGTCCAAATTAATATACTATCCCTCCAGTGAGCTGCAAATATTATTCATATATACTATAAATAAACTGGGTGATAAGTTGGTTTTAATTAATGATATTCCAAGTTTGTTCCAATGAGATTGGCATATCTAGTCATGAAACCAAATATTAAAAGGGTTCCATACTATGCTTTTCGTCTCTTTAAAATTGGCATTCCACTAAAGGAGAAACACCTGATGCCTGAGGCCTTGACGCAGACACAGTTGAAAGGCTTTGGGGAAATAAACTTAGAGCACAGCTTGACAAAGTCTTATAGCTTTCACTGGGAAAGACAGAAAGTAGTAGACTCAAAAGAAATCAGTCAAGAGTGCCAGGAGCTGAAGGGGAATTGAAGACAGGTCTAACTTTGAAAATGAATGAAATATTAGAAGGAAGCAAGAGTAGGAGAATCCACAGAGATGGAATCCACACAGTTTGTACTGCATCTTATTCATTTAGGATCAAACTGTACCCCCTGGTCCCTGAAATAGGGAAATGTGCTAAAAGTGTCATTTTCTGAATGCTGAGCAAGATTTATGGGCTTGTTATGAATTAAGTGACAAGATTAACTCGTAGTCTGAACATCACAAAAGCAACATGATACAAGTGAGACTAAAGGTTTTAAAGATTGTAAAATATTACAAAAGAGATCACACTAGGTTACTGAAAATATAGATTTGCCAAATCTCAATTCCTGAGGGAATTATCACGCATTTGAGTTCTCAGAAAAGCATACTTTCTTGAGAACTGTTATAAACAAACATACAAATATTACAAACTAAATGGCTCTTGTTTTTGTCTGAACACTTTCAGACTACACTTAAAGAAAAACAAGTATGGCCAGCCGGGCGCGGTGGCTCACGCCTGTAATCCTAGCACTTGGGGAGGCAGAGGCAGGCGGATCACCTGAGTTCAGGAGTTTGAGACCATCCTGGCTAACATGGTGAAACCCCGTCTCTACTAAAAATACAAAAAATTAGCCGGGCTTGGTGGTGGGCGCTGTAGTCCCAGCTACTCGGGAGGCTGAGGCAGGAGAATGGGGTGAACCCGGGAGGCGGAGCTTGCAGTGAGCCGAGATGGCGCCACTGCATGCACTCCAGCCTGGGAGACAGAGCTAGACTCCGTCTCAAAAAAACAAAAAAAAAAAAAGAAAAACAAGCATGGCCAAGGCCCCATTTAAGCTTTCTTTTCCATAACCCCTCACTCCTTCATTTTCTATGCCATATTTTAGGCCAATATCATTTTTATCTTAGATTATTTATAGTAAAAATGACAGAAAACATCTATTGGGTGCCAGTGGTTCTTGCAACAACACGATCATGTAGGTGACTATCAATATCCCCATTGAGGAAACAGGCCAGAGAACTTAAGTATTGCCCAAGGTCACACAGCTAAGTGGCAGAAACCTTTGGCCCCGTCCTCATAAGCGCTACACATTACTGCCCCTCCAAGTGGTATTTCAGGCAACCTTTGTCCTTGGTGCCTTGTTGGGAAACTCTCCCAACCTACAAGGCAGTTTGAAAGAGGAGGTGGTGTGGTTTGTATCAGATAATCTTCCTGTGCACACAAGAGGCTCAACCAAAAAGGTCTACCTCTAAAACAACACTGATCAACTCATATGCTGAAAATGTGCAATTAGACATATGTGTGCATGTGTCTTTATAGCAGCATGATTTATAGTCCTTTGGGTATATACCCAGTAATGGGATGGCTGGGTCAAATGGTATTTCTAGTTCTAGATCCCTGAGGAATTGCCACACTGACTTCCACAATGGTTGAACTAGTTTACACTCGACCAACAGTGTAAAAGTGTTCCTATTTCTCCACATCCTCTCCAGCACCTGTTGTTTCCTGACTTTTTAATGATTGCCATTCTAACTGGTGTGAGATGGTATCTCATTGTGGTTTTGATTTGCATTTCTCTGATGGCCAGTGATGGTGAGCATTTTTTCACGTGTTTTTTGACTGCATAAATGTCTTCTTTTGAGAAGTGTCTGTTCATGTCTTTTGCCCACTTTTTGATGGGGTTGTTTGTTTATTTATTGTAAATTTGTTTGAGTTCATTGTAGATTCTGGATATTAGGCCTTTGTCAGATGAGTAGGTTATGAAAATTTTCTCCCATTTTGTAGGTTGCCTGTTCACTCTGATGGTAGTTTCTTTTGCTGTGCAGAAGCTTTTTAGTTTAATTAGACCTCATTTTTCAATTTTGGCTTTTGTTGCCATTGCTTTTGGTGTTTTAGACATGAAGTCCTTGCCCATGCCTATGTCCTGAATGGTAATGCCTAGGTTTTCTTCTAGGGTTTTTATGGTTTTAGGTCTAACGTTTAAGTCTTTAATCCATCTTGAATTAATTTTTGTATAAGGTGTAAGGAAGGGATCCAGTTTCAGCTTTCTACATATGACTAGCCAGTTTTCCCAGCACCATTTATTAAATAGGGAATCCTTTCCCCATTGCTTGTTTTTCTCAGGTTTGTCAAAGATCAGGTATTTGTAGATATGCGGCGTTATTTCTGAGGGCTCTGTTCTGTTCCATTGATCTATATCTCTGTTTTGGTACCAGTACCATGCTGTTTTGGTTACTGTAGCCTTGTAGTATAGTTTGAAGTCAGGTAGCGTGATGCCTCCAGCTTTGTTCTGAGTAGGCCACTTAGCCAAAAGGAACTACCATAAATGATCTTAGGGAACTGTAGGTTTGCAGCACTGCTATGCCAAAGCCATATGCAAAATGCAGTTAGGGAAGGGCAGAAACAAGGTAAACAGAGAAATTCACTCTGAACCAAACACTCTCTTGGCATCAAAATTTTTACTTGACTTTCTGAAGAATTTCAGCAATTTACATTTTCTGCAACTGTTTGAAAGTGCCTCCTTCCCCTACCTTCATAAATGCCAGGTTGCCCGTTTTTGCTGTTGTTGTTTATGCCAATTGTTTGGACAAAAATGGCATTTTTTAAATGTCCACATTTGAGATTAATGGTGAGTTGAATATCTTTTTATGTATCATTATCTCTTCTTGACTACTTATATTTCTTGTTTTGTTAAATATCTGTTTACATATTTGCCAATGTTTCTATTGGTTTGCTCTTTCAGGTCCCCTCCATTATACACAAGAGTTCCTGGTTTATTAACATTGTAACTCTTTATCTATCATACGTTTTGCAATATTTTCCTATTTGTTTATACTGGATCCATAATTGATTTATTTGGCTCTTGTTTTGTGTCTTATTATATCACTACCTGGATGCTCTTTCCAAAATCTAAATCTAATCATGAGTCTTCTCTATTTTATAAATGTTCAATAACTCTACTACATCTACCAATTAAATTGGAAATGCCATATGTTGGCATAGCAATCTCTTTATTGCTTGATAGTCACCTCTCTTGACCACTTCATTCTTTGTATAACTCTAATAATAGGTATTTTAAAAAGCACTTTATTGAAACATTATTGACATCTAAAAAGCTGTACATATTTTATGTGTAAAAGTTGGAGTTTAGAGATAAGTATATACCTACAAAACCACCACCACAATCAATGCCACCAGCCTGTCCATCACCTCCAAAACTTTCCTCCTGCTCTCATTATTTATTATTATGATTAATATTTTTGACAAGAACATTTAACATAGGATCTACCCTTTTATCAAATTGGCAAGTGCACAATACAGTATTGTCAATTATAGGTACAATGCTGTAATCTCTAGGAATTACAAATCTTGTATAACCAAAACTTTGTACACTTAGACTAATTAATACATTCCCATTCCTTTCCCTTCAGCCCCTGGCAGCCACCATTTCACTCTCTGCTTCTATGAATTTGACTATTTTAGATTCATTATGTAAGGGAGATATTGTAATATTTGCCTTTCTGTGTCTGGCTTATTTCATCTAGCATAATGTCCCTCAGGTTCATTCATGTTGTCACAAATTGTAGGGTTTCCTTAATTTTTTTAGGCGGAATAATATTCCATTGCATGCTTATATCATGTTTTCTTTATTCAGTTGTCCATCAGTATACATTTAGATTGCTTCCATGTCTTGGATATTGTGAATAATGCTGGAGATGCAGACATCACTTTGAGATCCTCATTTCAATTCCTTTGGATATATACTCAGTAGTGGAATTACTGGATCATATGGTAGTTCTACTTTTCATTTTTTTAGGAATTTCTGTATGTTTTTCATAGTAGCCACACCGATTTACATTCCCACCAACAGTGTACAAGGATTCCCTTTTCTCTTCATCCTCACCAATGTTTGTCTTTGTGTGTGTGTGTATGATAAACAGTTTTTCTAACAGATGTGAGGTGATATCTCATGGTAGTTTTTATTTGCATTTCCCTGATGATTAGTGATGTTGAGCACCTTCTCATATACCTATTGGCTATTTGTATGTCTTTGGAAAAATGTCTAGCCAGTTCTTTTGCTAATTTTTTAATCAGATTTTTTTTCTTCTGAGTTGTTTGGATATTAACTGCTTATTGGGTATATGGTTTGCAAATATTTTTCTTTCATTTTATAGCTTACCTTTTCATTATGTTGATTTTTTTTCTGTGTGGAAGATTTCTAGTTTGAATAATTCCACTTGTGTATCTTGTATTTATTGATTGTGTTTTATTGTCATACCCAAAAATTCATTGCCAAGGTCAATGTTGAAAAATTTCCCTCTTTATTTTCTTTTACAAATTTCACAGTTTCAGGTCTTAACAGTTATCATTTTGAGTTAATTTTTGTATATGGGTTGAAGTAAGGGTCCAATTTTATTATATTGGATGTGGATATCCAGCTTTTCCAACATCACTTATTGAAGAAAATGTTCTCTCCCCATTGTGTGTTCTCGTCACCTTTGTGGAAGATCAGTTAACCGTAATTATGTGGATTTATTTCTGAGCTCTCTTTATATTTCTTCCATTGGTCTATGTCTGTTTTTATGCCAGTGCCATGCTGTTTTGATTAGTATACCTTTGTAGTAGCTTTAAGATTGCTTTGTCAGGCCAGGCGCAGTGGCTCACGCCTGTAATCCCAGCACTTTGGGAGGCTGAGGCAGGCAGATCACAAGGTCAGGAGTTTGAGACCAGCCTGGCCAATATGGTGAAACCCCATTTCTACTAAAAATACAAAAATTAGTTGGGCATATTGGCATGCACCTGTAGTCCCAGCTACTTGGGAGGCTGAGGCAGAAGAATTGCTTTAACCCGGGAGGCAGAGGTTGCAGTGAGCCAAGATCGCACCACTGCACTCTAGCCTGAGCAACAGAGCGAGACTCCATCTCAAAAAAGAGAAAAAAAAGATTGCTTCGGCTATTTGAGGTCTTTTGTGGTTCCACATGAATTTTAGAATTTTTTTTTCTAATTCTGTAAAAAATTCCATTGGAATTTCATAGGGATTTCATTGAATATGTAGATATCTTTCGGTATATGAACATTTTAACAATATTAATTTTTTCAACTCATGAGCATGGGATATATTTCATTTATTTTGCATCTTCAATTTCTTTCATCAATATTTTATAGTTTTCTGTATGCAGTTCTTTTATCTCTTTTATTAAGATTATTTCATATTATTTTATTTTTGATGCCATTTTAAATGGGATGGTTTTCTTGATTTTTTTGATACATTTTTGTTACTGTATAGAAACACTACTGATTTTTATATGTTGATTTTGTACCCTGCAACTTTGCTGAATTCATTATTTAGTTCTAACAGATTTTCTTGTGAGTCTCTAGGATTTTTTATTTAAAAATATGTTATCTGTAGATATAGTTTTGTTTCTTCATTTTTATTTGGATACCTTTTATTTCTTCTTCTTGTCTAATTGTTCTGGTTAGGACTTCCAGTACTATTTTGAGTAGAATTGTAGAATTGGCAAGAGTGATCATCCTTGCCTTGTTCTAGAACTTAGAAGAAAGCTTTCAGTTTTCTACCACTGAGTATGATGTTCTCTGTGGGCTTTCCATATATGGCCTTTATTGTGTTGAGGAAAATTCCTTTTATACCTAATTTGTTTGAGTTTTTTTTAATCCTGAAAGGATGTTAAGTATTTTCAAACGCTTTTTCTGCATGTGTTCAGATGATCATGTGATTTTTATCCTGCATTCTGTTAATGTGTTTTATCACATTGATTGATTTACATATGTTGAATCATTCTTGCATCTGAGTAACCAATCCCATTTGGTCAAGGTGTATAATGCTGAATTTGGTTTGCTAATATTTTGCAAATTTACTTTGTTTGTATTTTATTCAGGACGTTTGTTCCCATGTTCATCAGAGATACTGGCCTGTAGTTTTCTTTTCTTGTGATGCCTTTGCCTGGCATTGCTATCAGGGTGAGTCTGGCTTCATAAAAGCCATTTAGAAGTGCTCTCTCTCATTTTTTGAGCATTTAAGAGGGATCGGTATTAATTCTTCATTAAACTTTTGGTGGAATTCAGCTGTGAAGCCATCTAGCTGTAGGCTTTTCTTTGTTAGCAGGGTTTTGGTTACTGGTTTAATCCTTATTTGTTATTGGTCTGCTCAAGCTTTCTATGTGACTCAGTCATGGAAGATTATATGTTTCTAGAAATAGGTCTGTTTCTTCTAGTTGTTGAATTTGTTGGTGTATAATTGTTCATAATAGTCCCTTATGATCTTTTTTATTTCTATGGCAATGGTTGTAATATCTCCTCTTCTAGTTCTGATTTTATTTAATTTTCTCTCTTTTTTTCTTAATTGATTTAACTAAGGGTTTATCAATTTTGTTTGTGTTCTTAAAAACCAGCTTTTAATTTTATCGATCTTTTCTACTGTTTTTCTACCCTTGATTTCATTTATTTTTGCTCTAATCTTTATTATTTTCTTCCATTTGCTAACTTTGGGCTTAGCTTGGTCTTCTTTTACTAGTTCCTTTACTTATACTCTTAGGTTGTTCATTTGAGATCTTTTTGTTTTCTTACTGTAGATGTTTATCTCTAAACTTCCTTTATAGGACTGCTCTTTTTTTGCCTTCTATGTTTTAGCACGTTGTTTTTGTTTTTGTCGGTCTTGAGGTATTTTCTAATTTCCCTTTGGATTTCTTCCTTGACTCAATGACTATTCAAGAATTTATTGTGAAATTTCCATTTTACAGATTCCATTTGTGAATTTTTCCATTTTACTTTTGTTATTGATTTTTAGTTTGCTAATGTTGCGGTTTGGGAAAGATACTTGAAATGATTTCAGTCTTCTTAAATTTGTTTTGTCACCTAGCAAGTGACTTACCTTCAAGAAGAGAAACTAGTGGTAGGGCAGCACTTATCACATACATGCACCTGGTTTCCTGTGTGGGGTGCTCAGAGCCTGTTTGTGGGGATGTTGATGCAACAGGAAAACATAAAGTTTTAAAATTTATAATACACAGGTGTTTCCCAGGAAATGGTGCAAGGTGGCTAAACCTTGATCTATTTTATATATCTGAAATATTTTAATTCTGCTATCAAATTTGATTGATAAATGTCTGGGTATAGAATACTATGTTAGACATAATTTCCCCTCAAATTGTTTTCTGGATTTCTGAAACATTTTAAAAGTTGGATGCCATTTTTTATGGTATTTCTTTGTATGGGGCTTCTTTCTTTCACTCTGGGTGTATCACTGTACCTCTTTATTGCCAACTTTCTGAGAAAGTATGATGGTATGTCTTGATGTGAGCTCTTTTAATTTATCATGTGGGAGTCCTCAGTGCGTTTTTTTCAAACCTGGACTCTCATGTTCTTTAATTCTGGAGAATTGATTGAAAGCATGAATGGAAGTTGTCTTGAAATTGCTTTCTCTACCTAGAAGAAATTCCTATTCACATTTTAAATTAAAGTTTAAAGATTACATTCATCGAAAATATTTCTGACTACCCTTCTCATCTCCAAAAAGAAAACATAGCAAAACACCACCACCAACAACCTAGGGACATGGTTCTACCATGTGTACATGTCTACTGATCCTTTTATAGTAATGATTTTTACTGTTTATTTCTCTGTCCAGGCAGTGAGAAATTTGGTCAGGACTAAATTTTAAAGAGAAATGATTTCAAAAAAGTTCTTCCTGACACATATGTATTTACCTTACTGAAATAAATTCATTGTTTTTAAGAAGAATAAAATGCCTGTTGTAAGATAGTAAGAACTACAAAAAACAAAACAAAAAATCCCACAGTGTACTCCATTTCTTAGAAAAGTGGGTAAGCAATACTAGTGCTGTGGGCAGCTGAGCTGGGCTGTGTGAGGAACAACTGCTGGGTTCCTGCTGCTGGATTTAAAAGGGCAGAGGTCTACTGGATTCTATTTGCATTACTATAAGTGTACTAGAGACCGAAATCTTATTTCTTGAGGTGAATGTCTCTCTGGTGACTCTAGCAGGAAGCTAGGCTTTTCCATCAGAAAGAGTAGGTACCTAAAGGATAAAAATAGTTCTTTCCACTCTGAGTGAAGGCAAAGCAAAGTGAAATTTAAAGAAAGTAAAGACAGGTCATTTGGAGAGATGAGCAGAAAAATGAGCAAACCTACTAATTCCTTGTGTCAGGAAGAATTAGTTGTTTAAATAAAGTATACATGTAAATAGCGTATTAATTGTGTTGGAACTCTATTTTGTATAATGTGCTTCATATGTAGCTGTTATTCTCTTAAGCAATATGTGTAATATTAATTCTAAATAAATCTCCCTATTTAGATTAATATTGTTTATTTACCAAACATAGAAAGGCAATATGCCTAATTCCAGATGATGTCTATCTACAAAGTAATCACTAAACTAGTATCCAGACTGGGTCTCACAAAACTTGAGTCAGTATATTTGTTCTCCTTTGCTCCCCTGACCCCCAGCTTTACTGAGGTATAACTGACAAATAAATACTGTATACATTAAAGGTATACAGCATGTTGTTTTCATATACATATGTATTGTAAAATAATTATCATTATCAAGTTAATTAACATATATTTCACCTCACATAGCATTTTTTTTTTTTTGGAGAGAATGTTTATTATCTACACTCTTAGCTAATTTTGAGTGTACAATAGAAGACTATTAACTATAGTCACCACGCTGGACATTAGATATCCAGACCTTATTCGTCCAGCATAACTGAAATTTCATTCCCTTTGACCAGCATCTTCCCATTTCCCCCACCTCCCAGTTCCTGGAAACCACCATCCTACTCTCTACTTCCACTTTTTAAGAGATCATGCAGTATTGTGTTTCTGTGTTTGGCTTATTTCACTTGACATAAAGTCCTCCAGGTTCATCTATGCTGTCATGAAGGAAAGGATTTCCTTCCTTCTTAAGGCTGAATAATATTCCACTATATTGAAAGAGTTAAGAATATGCTACCCAAAAATATGCTTCTCTGGTTTATTGACTATTTTGAATTAAAGAAACTTAAAAAATAGCAGTTGCAAAAAGATTACTCTGACCTTCATTGTTTTTTAAAAGTAGAAGATAAAATTCTCACATGAAGGGTGTTTTCCTCCAACTAAAAGAATAACATTCGAATAATTAAGAAAGGGAAGTTGAAACTGTTTGTGTGAAAATGCCATTGGATTTTTTTAATTGATTGATTATTTATTTTTCCTTTCAACTTTTTATTGTAGGTTCAGGTGTACATGTGCAGATTTGTTGCATGGGTAAACTGTATGACATGGGGATTTGGTGTACATATTATTTCATCACCCAGGTAATGAGCAGCATAGTACTCTATAGGTAGTTTTTAGATCCCCTCCCTCCTCCCACTCTCTACCTTCAATAGACCACACTGTTTATTGTTCCCTTCTTAATGTCCATGTTTACTTAATGTTTAGCTCCTACTTATAAGTGAGAACATGTGGTATTTGGTTTTCTGTTCCTGCATTAATTTTCTTAGCATAATGGCCTCCAACTCTATCCATGTTGCTGCAAAGGATATGATTTCATTCTATTTTTATGGCTGCATAGTATTCTATGGTTTATATGTACCACATTTTCTTTATCCAGTCTCCATTGATGGGCATCTAGGTTGAGTTTATGTCTTTGCTAGTGCTGTGATGAGCATATGTGTGCATGTGTCTTTATGGTAGAATGATTTACATCCCTTTGGGTATATACCCAGCAATAGGATTACTGGGTCAATAAATTCAATAATAACAAGCAATGGGGAAAGAACTAGCTATCCAATACCAAACTAAAGCTCTAATATTTTTGTATAACCATTAGGAAGAGGAAGAAGAAGAGGGAGGAAGGAGAGAAAAAAGGAAGGAAGGAAAGAAGAAAAGAAAAAAGAATGAGAGAGAGAGAACAAAAGCATCACCAATAAGTGACGCTAGGAGCTAGCCCAATGCAGAAGAATGAAATTGGACCCTTTTCTTTCACCATATACAAAAACTCACTCAAGATGGGTGAAAGACTTAAATGTAAAACCTAAAACTGTAAAAACCCTAGGAAACCTACGAAATGTCATTCTGGATATAGACCCTGGCAAGGATTTCATGATAAAGACTCCAAAAGCAATTGCAACAGAAACAAAAATTGACAAGTAGAATATAATTAAAGAGCTTCTGCACAGCAAAATAAACAATCAAAAGGGTAAACAGACAACCTACAGAATGGGAAAATGTATTTGCAAACTATGCATCTGATAAAGGTCTAATATCCAGCATCTATAAGGAACTTAAACAACTCTACAAGAAAAAACAAACAACCCCACCAAAATTTTCTTAGAATAGTCAAAAAAATAGACAAAGAACATGAACAGAGAAGACATGCATGCAGCCAAGAGAAGACATGCTTCTCAAGAGAAGACATGCATGCAGCCAACAAGCATATGAAAAAAATACTCAACATCACTCATCATCTGAGAACTGCAAACCAAAACCACAATGATTTACCGTCTCACAGCAGTCAGAATGGCTATTATAAAAAGTCAAAAAATAACAGATACTGGTGAGGTTGTGAAGAAAAGGGAATGCTTATACACTGCCTGTGGGAATGTAAATTAGTTCAGCCACTGTGGGAAGCAATTTAGAGATTTCTCAAAGAACTTAGAACTTCCACTGGAATTTTGATAAGGATTGCATTGAATTTGGTCTCTCTTTGGGTACCATGAACACTTTAACAATAGTAATCCATAAGCATGTGGTATTTTTCCATATATTTGCTTCCATTCAAATTTTTGAACACTTTGAAGTTTACATAAATCTTTCTTTTCTTTTCATTCCTCTTTCTTTCTGTCTCTTACTTTCTTTGTTCTTCCTTCCTTCTTTCCTTCCTTCCTTCCTCTTCTTCTTACTTCTAGTGGCAATAAGAACATATTCTAGCTTTAATCTGGTGATTTATATTTAGTGAATTTTTAAAAATTGAGAATAATGATTGAACTGTAATTGGAAATAGACCTAAAGCAGAGAGAAACCTTTCCTCTTTGTTTTTCTCTTTTTTTTTCCTGTTCTCCACTGCTTCTTAATTGATCGATTTGCTTTTCTAGTCATAAGGAAGTTGTTTATTATAAAATTAAATTGATATTGTCATTTCTGGAGATAGCTACAAGTGGCCAGAAGATGTTTTTAAAATTGAAAGCTAACTGCCAATTGAAAAAAAATCCCAACAAAACAGAAACTGCCTTCCAAGGTTGTCTTGGGAAGAGGATGCACAGGGAGTTGTGTGGGGGCTATGCATTTCTACTGTGAAACTAGTAATCACTTAAGGGGTTAAGGGGGGAAACCACAATGTGTCTGTGTGTTTCTTTGTGTTTCCACAGCCTGCATGACTCCTTGTTTTCTTCTTCTTTTTTTTTTTCTTTTTTTTTCCTTCTTTTTTTTTTTTTTTTTTTTGAGATGGAGTCTCGCTCTGTAGCCCAGGCTGGAGTGTAGTGGCAAGATCTTTGCTCACTGTAACCTCCACCTTCCAGGTTCAAGCAATTCTCCTGCCTCAGCCTCCCGAGTAGCTGGGACTACAGGAACCCGCCACCACACCTAGCTAATTTTTGTATTTTTAGTAGAGACTGGGTTTCACCATATTGGCCAGGCTGGTCTCGAAATCCTGACCTTGTGATCTGCCCACCTCAGCCTCCCAAAGTGTTGGGATTATAGGTATATGCCACCGTGCCCAGCCTTTATTTTCTTATACACACTGCAATTGGTTTGTTGTTTGTTCTTCTTCCCTGCAGGGAATAAAGTGAGAAGTACAGAAAAGATGTTAAACAGCTGTTTGAGTAAACCTTCCTTAGCCGAATTGGCTGAATATTAATTGGCTGAATATGACTAGTCTCACAACATGCAGAAGATGAGGTGTTAGTAGGCAAGGAAAAGTCTAGAGGAATGTGTGAATATTTTGCATCTCTAGTTGGTAAACTTAATGGATCACATATTACAGTTGATGGTCACTGCTGTGTTCTGCACATGGCAGCCCCAGGTGTGACTATAGAAGGTTTGCTTATTAGAGGCCAAGTGTAGCAGAAAAACCTTAACTCCTCTTGCTATTACTCCCAGGTTCCTGGGTTGGGGTACTGATAAATTAGTTGACAAACCTAATATTCTTTAGAGACAAAACCCACAAAATATTCATAGACTTTAATAATGCTGTAGTGACTGCATCATTTCCCTAGCTTTGCCTCTGTTTTCATATCTGAGAAGACAAAGGGTCTAAAAAAACTTGCCTAAGGTCCAAATTTAACCCACATCTTTTAACACCATGCATTATATTTTCTCATTGAACCCTAGAAATCATAACTGTTAAAAATGCAAGACTGTGTTTGCTCTCTTACAGAAGGGTAAAGCTTCTATTACGATATTTCAGTTCTCATCCTAAGAGTGAACAAAAAGTTCTGCTGATGTCTGATGTGCAATCTCCTAAAAATTCCAGTTTCCAAGGGCTCCTGAAATATTTCAGGATCTATAATTTCTGAAATATTTCAGGATCTATAATTTCTGAAATATTTCAGGGAGGAATACGGAGTAGACATCAAGAACACGGATTCTAAAGTCAGACTGGTGGAGTTTATGGCTTAAAAGTAGCAACTGAATTTCTCTCTCAATGCTCTTATTTGTAAAATGGAGAAAATAATATGTCTCGCTAGTTAATGAACATTATCGGGTGCACACCTTATAGCTGAAAGGAAGTATCAGTAGTACTTAGAAGTATGAGCTTTAGAACCTTAATACTAGGATAAAATCTAGGCTCCTCTACTTGTTAGCTGTATAGTCTTGGGAAAGTCACTCAATCTCTCAGTGGCTCCGTTTTCTCATACGTAAAGTGAGAATATTAGTATCTACATAAACTGTCGGACGTAAAAAGGGAGAACTTAATACATACAAAACTCTTATAATAGTCCCCTGTACATAGGTACTCAATGAATATTAGCTGTTACTGTTACCATTTATACTTAGAATTGCCGTATAATTTATCATCCATATTGAAACACTTTTGGGATTTGAAAGGGATCACTATTAAGAATTATGCAGTTATTTAAGAAATAACTTCAACACTGATGACTCAACCCCTTTTCCAAAGAATTTCAAATACTAATACAGAAGATAAACTTGTAAGCAAGCATTCAAATCAATCATGAAAAATGTTATAATAGCAGTAAAGTCGAAGATTAATTGGGACATGTCTAATTTCATATTTTGATAAATAAGAAGATTTCACAGAGAAGGCAAACCTTGAACAAGATTCATAAGTAAATGGGAACTTTAATCTTCTAAACTAGAAGAAAAAGAAAAGTGAAATAAGGGCAAGTTATTTAAGAAATAACTTGGCCGGGTGCGGTGGCTCATGCCTATAATCCCAGCACTTTGGGAGGCTGAAGTGGGTGGATCACGAGGTCAGGAGCTTGAGACCATCCTGGCTAACACAGTGAAACCCCGTCTCTACTGAAAATACAAAAAAAAAAAAAAAAAAAAAAAAATTAGCCCGGCGTGGTGGTGGGCACGTGTAGTCCCAACTACTCCGGAGGCTGAGGCAGGAGAATGGCGTGAACCTGGGAGGCGGAGGTTGCAGTGAGCTGAGAGCATGCCACTGCACTCCAGCCTGGGGGACAGAGCAAGACTCCGTCTCAAAAAAAAAAGAAAAGAAAAAGAAATAACTTACATAACCCTTAGGAACTCTTACTTCAGGCTTTAAAAGGCAAGGAGCAAATAGTTTTAGGAGACTGATAACGATGTCACCTAAATTTGAGATACTAAAAAGAGATTAGTGCTCTCAACTATGTGAAATCTATTTCTCCTACTGTCTCAAATATAATCCTAGGAATGTGCTTATAAACAAAGCATTTCTGGGCCAGGATAGCAATGCTTCACATCATATTGTGCTGCAGTTTCCATCATGCTTAAACGACAGAGACATGAACGATAAATAAAGGTATAAAAATATTACAACCTACCACCTCAAAAACAAAAAAATCACATTATTTATGGAGTTCAGAGCTTGGAGATTCAAGTATTGGTTACAGTTTTATTTTGAAAAGAATCCTACAATTTATGTGGTTTTTATTTCTCATGTTTATATTAAAAGAAAAGCTAATAAACTCTATTTTAATTTTAAAAAAAGAATTATCCAGGAACAATAGAAAGTACAGTAACTGTCCCATTGCAAACAGAAATGCAAGGTCACTCATTTAATACTGAGTCAGGATTCATAGGTTCTCTGTAGGTTGGTAGATCTTGCTTGCCTTTCTTCAGGTCTTTGACCCTGAGAATGAAACTGCTGGCCGGGCGCAGTGGCTCACGCCTGTAATCCCAGCACTTTGGGAGGCCGAGGCGGGCAGATCACGAGGTCAGGAGATCGAGACCATCCTGGCTAACACAGTAAAACCCTGTCTCTACTAAAAATACAAAAAATTAGCTGGGCATGGTGGCACGTGCCTGTAGTCCCAGCTACTTGGGAGGCTGAGGCAGGAGAATCACTTGAACCCGGGAGGTGGAGGTTGCAGTGAGCTGAGATCATGCCACTGCACTCCAGCCTGGGCGACAGAGCGAGACTCCGTCTCGAAAAAAAAAAAAAAAAAAAAAAGAATGAAGCTGCTTTCTAAGGTAGATTCTGGGAATTTTCAAGCTTTCTCACCTTCTAGTACCTTAGTACTTCCCGCCGCTTATGACCTTCTCTTCCAAGCAGCTTCAAAAATTGGCCATGTGCTCCCAGACACAGCCAGGAAGGTCAGGCCCTCCACTCTGTTCCACATTCTCTTTACATGAAACAAAACCAATGAAGTTAGAACAAAAACTCAGAGCCAAATTCTAAATCAGCTTATTTTTGCACATTTCTCTCTCCTTCTAAAACAACTTTCAAGAAAAAAGGAGTAAAGCTCAGAATCATACTACAGTATGCATTTGTGGTGTCTTTTTCTATGTGCAAGGCCCAAGACAGACTGCCCCTGTCTTCCTCAGGTGGGTCCCCAGAGGAGGAGTGGGAGAACGCAAATAGAGGACAGCACGTGGACGAAGCCTCCACGAGAAGCTTTCTCTGAGCGGCGTTAGACTCTGTAATCACTTTAAAGATAAAGAGGTCGGCGGGGGATGTGGGTCTTCTACATTAGGAAAAAATGGGCAGAATTAATTTGATAGTGCGTGTGGAGGTTCGCCTTACCCTCTCCTGTATTTTGGCAGTATCAAAAGTTATATCAAATTAACCATGTGGTAATAAGGTGGGACTATTCCCCCAAACCATTAAAAAAATAATACAACCAAAGTAAAAAGAGAGAAAACAGGTTAGCACAAGTAACAGGTAACTCTTTTATGAGATGATAATGAAAACGATGGAAATGAATTTTGATTTTAGTTTATATATATTTTTGAACAAACTGGAAAGTTATGCCCAATTCTGCTAAGTACTAGGGGAGTGGTACCTCTCCAGAGGTGTGCCCAGTTCTTTCCATAACATGGCATGTTCTTAGCGGTCTAAGTTAAGTGTTGAGTTTTCTAAGTGGGCCCAGCACGCACTAGTTTCTCACTTGTGGGTCTTTGCTGTACTGAGGTCTTTGCATTGGGTGTCCTGTAGCCCACTTGCCCTTATTTCACCTTTCTTTTTCTTCTAGTTTAGAAGATTAAAGTTCCCATTTACTTATGAATCTTGTTCAAGGTTTGCCTTCTCTGTGAAATCTTCTTATTTATCAAAATATGAAATTAGACATGTCCCAATTAATCTTCGACTTTACTGCTATTATAACATTTTTCATGATTGATTTGAATGCTTGCTTACAAGTTTATCTTCTGTATTAGTATTTGAAATTCTTTGGAAAAGGGGTTGAGTCATCAGTGTTGAATGAATTAGAGTCCTAGCATGGATCCCTCAGAACTCGCCCCAAGGAGAACAGAGCCTCTTTGTGAGCTTCAGGGTTAAGTTTGAAAATTTGGAGCTAGATCCTATGGTAAGTTCATCCATATTTTCTTAGGTCAATAGCAGGTCATAATGTTATGGGTGGGAGATGCCTAGAACTTGGTTTGCACGCCTTAGATTAGCACTTATATGAGGTTACATAAAATTCTTTGGTTTATTGTTTGGCATATCCTTTGGTCCGCTTAAATAGTAATTTTTAATGGTATTGACTGAAGACCATTTGCGTTTGAATTGTTTGGGTAGGTTTTTACAATTGTAAATTTCTCTACCTAATCCCAGAAGAGAGGAATCAGAATAACCAGTGATGAGTCCTGGGATTCTGCATTTTAACAAGACCTTTGGGTAATACTTAAGCTAAATAATATTTGAGAACCAATGTGGCCAGGCGCAGTGGTTCATGCCTGTAATCCCAGCACTTTGGGAGGCCGAGGCGGGCAGATCACCTGAGGTCGGGAGTTCAAGACCAGCCTGACCAACATGGAGAAACCCCATCTCTACTAAAAATACAAAATTAGCTGGGCGTGGTGGCACATGCCTGTAATCCTAGCTACTGGGGAGGCTGAGGCAGGAGAATGGCTTGAACCTGGGAGGCGGAGGTTGCAGTGAGCCGAGATCGTGCCATTGCACTCCAGCCTGGGCAACAAGAGCGAAACTCCATCCATCTCAAAAAAAAAAAAAAAGAGAACCAATGCTCTAGTAAATTATAGCGTGGTAACTTCCTTATACTTAAATACATTGAGTGACATCAATATAATAATACTGGCTAAGTTTTATTGATTATATTTTAGGTACTTAGTAATAGTGGTAAGATCTATGACTACACTGTAATTTGACAGGTATATTATGAGAATTATGAGTTAATGTACATGCCTGAAAGACACTACACAGCTGTGAAGTATAATTATCCCTTTATTTCCATGTGCTCACAGAATGATTTGATAGCAGAATTGGAAACTGAATCCAGGAAACTCATTTTTCTTCCACCAGTGCTTACTAGAGTGACTTGCAGGAATAAAGAGGAAATTTGTTATTGAATACCCAGCTCCTAGCCGGGCGCAGTGGCTCACGCCTGTAATCCTAGCACTTTGGAATGCCAAGGTGGGCGGATCACTTGAGATCGGGAGTTCGAGACCAGCTTGGCCAATATGGTGAAGCCCCGTCTCTACTAAAAATACAAAATGGGGCATGCTTGTAATTCCAGCTACCTGGGAAGCTGAGGCGGGAGAATTGCTTGAACCCAGGAGGCGGAGGTTTCAGTAAACCGAGATTGTGCCACTGCACTCCAGCCTGGGTGACAGAGTGAGACTCCGTCTCAAAAAAAATAATAATAATAATAAATTTAAAAATAAATAATAATACCCAGCTGCAGTATTATTTCATTTGTGACCTCCCTAAGTGTCTCGCTATTTAGTACCATTAGCACATACCCTTTTTGATCTATCCTATTTTTCCATGACTAATTAAACCTACTTTACAAAACACTTAGGTTCAACTGTTTCTTCAGGCCTTTATTTCCTTATGAAGGCTCCCATACTATGTAAAACTTTTATTAAATAAATTTGTGTGCTCTTCTCTTGTTAATCCGTCTTGTTATAGGAGCCTCTGCTAGGAACATAGGATGGATGAGAAAAATATATTTTTCCTTCACTATAATTTCAGGAAATCATAGTTCTTGATTAGTGACAGACACAGTTATCATTTATACTTGCATGGTACAGTTGATTTGTTCCGTAATGCAGATGAATCCACCAGACAACTAAAAACAAAAAAATTGACAGCTTTCATCGACTTGTGTGCTCCTTTTTTAAATTACATTTTCTTATCTTAATTTTGTGTTTCTTTTGATTTTCTTCGGTAGTTTTACCCTAAATCTATTAGCCTAAATAAGAAATTATTTAATTTTAATTGTTTTTAAATTCAACAAAATGATATCAGTCTCATAAAGCTTCTTACTCACTTAATATTAACGAATTGCATTTTATCTAGATTATTATGGGTAGCTATAGTTTATTTATTTTCATGGCTGTATAATATTGCATTATTTGGATATACCAAAACTTTGACTCCATTCTCCTTTCAGTAGACATTTTTAATTTTTACAGTTTTATTCTATTATATACCTTATTTCCTAGAACATACATCTCCTGTTTCACGTTTGCAGAAGTTTCTCACGCATGTCTAGGGTCAGAAGTATTGGGTCATAGGGTATGCATATTTTCAAATTTTCTCAACAATACCACACCACTTTCTGTCAGCAACATGGAAAAGATCTTGTTTGTTTTGCCTGTTTATCTAAGTAAAGCTCAACTTTAATCAGGATCTCTAATCTCTCCCAAAGTGATACAGGAGGTTAAAAAAACTTTAACTCCAGTAACTTTTCTTGATATTACATATCATTATTGCCTACATTTTTTGGGTTAATTTTCTTAGATGTTTCTTCTACATTGCTAACTCATAGTAGCAGGACAGGGTACTGGTCAGGAGTATATGTTCAAATCCTGGGTCTACTACTTGCCAGCTGTTATTTCTTAAACAAGTCATTTAGTCATTTTTGGCCTGGTTTCACCATCTATAAGTGAGGATATTAGTAGTAACTATATATATAGTCTATCTATATAAACTATATCTATATATATAGTTTGTGTATATATTATATATACACAAATACATATATCATATATTATATATATTATATATTATATATAAACTGTATAGGGTTTATTATATATTATATATAATACATATAGAGTATATTATATATAATACATATAGAGAGAGTATATTATATATATAAACTATATAGAATCTGAACAATTAGGCCTCATATTATATATATACATATATAATACATATACACATACTGTATATAAAGCCTAATATATAAACTCTATAGAGTTTATATATATATATATAAACTATAGTTCGAGACCAGCTATATAGTTTATATCTATATATAAACTATATAGCTTTAGTTTATATCTATATATAAACTATATAGCTTTAGTTTATATATAAACTATATACCTACTTAGAGTTTATATATATTAGGCTTTATATACAGTTGTGTGTGTGTGTGTGTGTGTATATATATATAATATATGTATAATACGAGGCCTAATTGTTCAGATTCTTCTCTGTAATACTTTGCCTTCAGCAATAAGAATGTCCCTTAGGTATAGAGAGGGCCCCTCTCACTTGAAGGTCTTATAACTTGCTTCAGTGGAGGGTCAGAAAATTCTTCCTAGATTTCATGACTTGCTTCAGAGAGCAAGGGTAGAGGAGAGTCAAAGAGACCTTTCTGCTTCTGCAGTTTTCTCAAATTAAAATATTTTGGGGTAGCATGTCCTGCATCTCTTCAAAACCATGAAACTACATTTTTCTGTCTCTCTCTCACTCTCCCTAAAGCACTTGAAAGAATTTCTAGCACATAGCTATACATTAGTTGTCACTTTTTAATATTTTATTTGTTCCTGCTTTTTATCCTTAGGTTAGTGATTATGATCACTGCTTTAGAGAATACTTGATGACATTTACTTGTGCTTCCTGATTTCTCTGCTTACCATTGTTTCTTGCATCCTCCTCCTTCATTAGCGTAAATTTCTAAACTTCTCTCTGAATTATCTTCTAATCATTTCTTTTTTTTTTTTTTGAGACGGAGTCTCGCTCTGTCGCCCAGGCTGGAGTGCAGTGGCGCGATCTCGGCTCACTGCAAGCTCCGCCTCCCAGGTTCACGCCATTCTCCTGCCTCAGCCTCCCGAGTAGCTGGGACTACAGGCGCCCGCTACCACGCCCGGCTAATTTTTTGTATTTTTAGTAGAGACTGGGTTTCACCGTGTTAGCCAGGATGGTCTCGATCTCCTGACCTCGTGATCCGCCCGCCTCGGCCTCCCAAAGTGCTGGGATTACAGGCGTGAGCCACCGCGCCCGGCCTCTAATCATTTCTTTAATAAGCATTTGCAGTGGTAATTTTTAGAAAACTAAAAATGTTTTTCTTTTGCTTTGCTTCTGAATGGCGATTTAGCTAAGCTTGAATTTGAGGTTGAATATTTTAATTTAGCACTTGAGATTCATTGTTTCCTCTACCATTGTTAATGAGCCGCATTCTAACAGTCTGTTTTTGTTGCTTGAAGACTTGTCTTTTTTCTTTGGGCGCTTTTAGGATGTTTTCTTAGTTTTCGTGTTATCTCAAAATATTATGCTTTATATATGTTCTTTAATACAAGACTCAGTTTGTTTTATTAATTGTGGATAATTTTCAACCATTTGTTTTTTTCATGAAGTAGTTTATCACCTATTTCCTGTAATGTAGCATATGGTTCCATGGTTTTAGTAGCTGCAGAAACTGGAATCCAGAGGTTAAATGCTTTTTCTAACATCAACATTAAAAAAGTAAGTATCTACAATGAATCAATAGATGAGTATCTTAGTAACGATGATAATAATAATAATAATTATTATTATAGTATCACTGCTAAAATGGACTTCTTTTTCTGAGTGCAGAAGCCCAAGATTGATCTTTATCTTATTAAATGCCAAGCCAGACAGAAAAGGTATTTGTAAAATGAGATTCTCTTGGAAAAACAGATCTATCGAATGTTATAAGATATTGCACTACTTCTGGGACCAGCTTGCTGGAGTTATAATCTTCCAGTAGCAGATTGTGGAGAGCTTTTTGGGAGGTTCCAGGAGGGAGATCTAGTAGCTTTCTCTAAGTTTATATGTGTCTTCAAGCTCTGGCTAAAGTCTTGTGGGTGTTCATCAATGACATGGTTAAGAATCTGAAGAGGAAGATCTTATCCAGGAGATCTGGGTGGGCTCTAAATGCAATCACATGTATTCTTATAACTGAGAGGCATAGGGAGTTTTGTAAGAGAAGAAGAGGAGACAATATAACCAAGGAGTGATGTGGCCACAAGTCAAGGAATGCCTGGATCCACCAGAAACTAGGAGAAGCAAGAAATAGATCCTTCCTTGGAGTCTTCAAAGGCAGCATGGCTCTGTAGACATTTTGATTTAGTACTTCTGGGTTTCAGAACTGTGATAGAATAAATTTCTGTTATTTTAGTTCACCAAGTTGGAGGTAATTTGTTATAGCAGCTATAGGAAACTAATACATACCCATCAGAGACACTCTATGTTAAATACTTGGGAGCCAAGATTTATTTCTTCTGGAATTTTCCAGTGTTTCACCATTACTCTTGATGTTACTGCTGCAACCTGGCACTGCTGATCCTAGCAAATGAGATGGAAAATGGAATGGGGAGAAACCACACCAAGGGGCTGGACAGTGGGTCTGTGGGATCTGCCATGAGACAGACGAGGAGGCTGGGTTGGCATAAGTAGAGGCACCTGTAACCCACATTGGCACAAGGGCAAAGAGGGCTATTCCACTGAGTAGCCAGAAGTTTGGTATTTAAAAGATGAGCTGAACTGGGGACTAGAGCAAGTAGGTGATTGTCATAGATAAAAGGAATGGGGCCAGGCGTGGTGGCTCACACATGTAATCACAGCACTTTGGGAGGCCGAAGTGGGCAGATCACTTGAGCTCAGGAGTTTGAGACCAGCCTGGCCAATATGGCGAAACCCCATCTCTACTAAAAATACAAAAAATTTAGCTGGGCATGGTGGCACATACCTGTAGTCTCGGCTACTCAGGAGGCTGAGGCACAAGAATTGCTTGAGCCTGAGCAGCAGAAGTTGCAGTGAGTCGAGATCGCGCCACTGCATTCCAGCCTGGTGACAGAGCGAGACACTGTCTCAATAAAAAATAAAATAAAATAAATAAAATATAAAAATAAAAAAGAGGAATGGGGTCCAAGTCAGTGCAGACACATTTTGTTCTGTAGTTTCCACAAGGTGTTGTCCAGTTTTAAGTGACACGGATTTGTATTTGGAGACTCTTATAACCTTCCCTGAAGGCACTTTTCAAACTGTCACAGTTATATATATCAGAGGAGAAAAAAATGTCAGCTTCTTCTTTAGCTGGGGAGGTAGTACATGGGCGATTGTTATTGCGTGATTATGTCTTATATGATTTTATAAATAATCATATATATCTTATGATTATGCAATGTATTTTTAAAATGTCTTCTACTAGTCAAGGAATTACAACTGAAATCGACAATAATTGCTCTTCCTTTTAGAAAAATAGCCCATGTCCTTAACTAGATCGCTATGTATGCAGCATCTGCTTGTGTCGTGTTTGCCAGCAAATCTAAATGAGTAATATTGAATAATAATATCCTACACCCTCTGCTACTGAAGATCCCAGATGTGGATTGACACTTCTCCAATTTCTGATATTGGAAGCTCTCCCTGGCCCACTTTTATAGTTATTAGGACAGGATCCCAGATTGGCTTCAAGTGAGCATCGTGTGGAGCCAATTTACAAACCATGCACATAATTTAGCTACCTAGTCAAGCTGATTTTCATGGGTAAACTGCATTGTTTTTCTAGAAGAGTATTATGGCATCTTGATCATGATACATGCAGCACATCCTGGGGTGAATGCCCATGAATACATGTGGCTTTAGTCATCATACTTTTAATATGAAAGAAAACTATCATGTAACATAGCTTCTAGTAGATGTTCGATACATAATCGTTCATTTTGATAGTCATTGACAAGTCTGTCAGAGGGGGTAGAATATTTTCAGGGTAGAAAGAATATAAACAACTCAGCATATTCCAGGATTTTTGGCATAACCTGTTGAACACGGGCATTTTTTTTCCAAGATGTGACCAAGAAGGCTATGCTGACCCTATGTGAGTTTGGCCTGCCTTTCATGGCAAAGCTTTCAAACAGATGCGTAGACTTTGGTGAGACACATCAAGGTGTTCCTAGAGGTATGGTCTTGTCCTGTTCTTCACATGGAAAGCTTCACTTCTCTCCAACATCTCCACTCGTCATCATCCATCTATGCTTGGAGATCTCCACAGGTATTGCACCACTCTTATTTCCACTGCTGAAAAGTTTGCTCTCCCTTTCATGGATGTAAGTCCTTTGATTTATTATCTCATACATTCCATGGGTCAGGGTTCAGACACATCTTAACTGGGCCTTCAGCTCAGGGTTTCACAAGGCTACCCACCAGTTGTTGACCAGGCTATATACCTTCTGGAACTTGGGATTCTCTTCTACATTCACACAGTTGCCAGCATTCAGAGCCCTGCAGCTGCAGGCCTTGAGGACCCTGCTTCCTTGCTGACTGTCCACGGGGACCACTCTCAGCCCTTGGAGGTATCCCATTGCTCTTTGCCACAGGCCATCTCACAACATGGCAGCTCACTTCTTCCAGACATTACTTTTCAGGTGTTTGCATCTCCATATTTCTTTCTATTCTTTTTTTGCAATTCCGTCTAGATGTATATTGGATTTTCATATTTTGTTCTCCTTGTCTCTTAACTCCTTTTGTTATTTTTCTATCTCTTTACATCTCCAGTCTGCATATTAGGCAATTTTTTCATACCTATCTTGCAAGTAATTATGTCTTCAGCTGGGTTTAACGCTTATTTTTTTAACCTATTGACTGAGTTCTTAATGTAAATGACTGTGTTTTTTATTTCTAAATACTATATGTTTTTTTCTGTTCCCAACGTTTCCTGGCTTCTTGTTTTTTAAATGATGAAGGACAAATCCTTTAGCATAGCAGGAAAGCCCATTCAACACCCTGGCAAAGACTCCAGTTAGTTATGCTCCTCTGAGTCCTCTTTTTGACTAGACTTCACCCTTGGGCTCTGTCCTGGGGTCACTTAGTTCAGTTTTTTGTTTTTTTGTGTGTGTGTTTTTTTTTTGTTTTTGAGATGGAGTCTCACTCTGTCACCCAGGCTGGAGTGTAGTGGCACGATCTCAGCTCACTGCAACCTCCACCTCCCGGGTTCAAGCGATTCTCCTGCCTCAGCCTCCTGAGTAGCTGGACTACAGGCACCCGCCATCACGCCTGGCTAATTTTTGTATTTTTAGTAGAGACGGGGTTCCACCATATTGGCCAGGCTGGTCTTGAACTCCTGACCTTGTGATCTGCCCACCTTGGCCCCGCAAAGTGCTGGGATTACAGCTGTGAGCCACCGTGCCCGGCCCTTAGTTCAGTTTTAGTAAGGTTCCTGCTGGGTCAGTTTATCAAGACTTTCCCATCCTTGGTATCTGATCAAATTCCTAATTCCTTACCCTCAATATCTGATCACCTTGTCTTGTCTTCTGAAAGAATCCTGGTGAGCTGGTTTAGCCAGAATCCCCTTTACCCTTGATGTTTTCTCTTTGTAATTTTTTATCCACATACCCGCATGATGATCTTTGACTGTAAATCCCCATTTGTTCTTGTTATATTCAGAATGGAGCTCAGTTCTATTACTTTTCCCTTATTGCAATAATTCATGAATAAAATCTATCTTTTCTGCTTTAACTTCTGTCCAACTCCCTTCCCGATTTGTTTCCTTTGCATTTCGAGATTGTTTAGGACATCATATCCTAAGTCCTCACTGTTCTTTACATATGTCATGCTTTTGAACATCCTATGTGTTTACACTTGCTGCTCTCTTTGATGGAGATACTTTCCTCTTCTTTCTACTTACTGAACTCCTGTTCTTCCTTTAAGACCCAGCTCAAAACCCTTTCTTTGTGAACTTTTCCCTAACTCCTCTTCCATTCTGTATTTCCATAACACCATATAAAGAACACTTTTTACATTGTACTTTAGTTACTAGTCATTTTTCTATTTCTTCCACTAAACTGTGAATACAACAGTACCATCCATGTCTTATTCACCTGTGTATGTCTGTCTTTTCCATTTAGTATCTGTCCCGTAGTAGATATCCCATAGATTTCTTTGTTGTTAGATAAAAAAAAAAGTTCATTTAAATTTCTCTACACTACTAAATACAGAGTATAATTAAGTAGTTAATTGTATTCTGTATTCTGTGTATCCTGACACATTATACAGAGATAAATCTCTGGGAGAAAAGTATCTGTAAATGAAATTGAACATTGAACCGTAACTTCTTATTTTCCAAGTTGCTAGATCTTACTTTTGATAAATTATCAATCATTCTTATCAACTTTCTATCTGATCCATGACAAAATAGGAAATAATCTTTGAGTCAATATTTAATGCATTGCAGGGTTTACTATATTTAAAACAACTCTGGTATAAATCCTTTTATAAACTTGAGAGGGTTATAATATAAATAATTACTCCAAATTATAGCTTCACAATTTCTTAGACTGTGGATATGTTATAGTAGTAAAATGAACATATTCACTCATTTCTTGTCAAAACTAACTGGAAACATTTTCTTGCAATGATTGATATATAAGGACATTGAAACCCTAGTCAGTAGTTGAGACATTTCTAACTTTCTATCACAGATTTTTCACTTATTAAAAATAGTTTTTTATTGTTCACTGCTTTTCTTCTTGGGGGCAATTTATATCAAATTGCATGACTCGAACTTTGTTCAGGTTGAGAAATTGTGTATTTATGGTCAAAATATCTTCTCTTGTCTCTACGGCCTGTGTTTTATTTTTCTTTCTCTTTTTTTACATTCTCTTTCAGGTTCAATACTAAATGTGATGTCATTAAAGGGAAATTTTCTAAACAAATTTTAGAGAACTGAAGCAATTTCGTTGAAAGATTAGCTGCTACTAACACTTAAAATGTGAGATGTCCGTGCATCTTATATAGTCATTTGAATACATTAAATTTTTGAATCTCTAACAAAGAATGATTTAGTAAATTTTACATTAATAAAGTAAATGTTAATTAACAGACAATACTTAAAATGACTTCAAAATCTGCATGCTAATGTCAGCTCTTGGCAACAACAGTAAAAGTTGATTCATAAAAATGAGTCCTCAGGGTAGCTGCTTTTACGTAAACTGACTTCTCAAATGTATGAAAAATGGGAAGCATTGCTTCTTAGCTAAAACTTAATAAAGTGGTCACAGAAATGTCTTTCTGTGAAAAGGTAAGTTCTTAGGCTGTTTGGGCAAAGAGAATTCAAGGAAATGAACTCATCACTGCTGCCGCTTCTTGTCAAAATTTCATTGAAATGAATATAGTTCTTTTATCAAAATAAACATGACATGAATTCCAGAGCTCACTGTTCCTGTTTTTGCTGTTGGAGGTGCTGTTGGTTTTTCTTGCAGCTATAAATGATGCTGAAGGAATGCAGGCTAGAATCTAATGAATTTTATGCCGAGCAATCACAGAACCAGCATACTTTTCACTATCATCCCATTTATGGAAGGATTTTTGTTTTACAAAGCTATTGATACAGAAAAGTCTATAGAATTCGTGATGTTTGATCAAGCCTGGCAGGAAAAGTCTATCTTTTGGAGCACTGTACCCTCCAGTTACTGTATCTTTGTTTCTTTTGAAGATGTGAGAAATTGTATAGAAGGGGTGCTTTTTTAGGTAAGCTGATGGTAGTGCTAGATTATATTTAGAGGTATTTACTTAAGCACAAAGCTACTGGTGAAAGCCCAAGTGACTTATCACTCAGTAGAAAGATGAAGTAACAGGTTTTAACTCTGAAGACACTGCTACAAGATATGAAACGAAACAACTTATCCTTTTCAGGGAGAGTATTCATATTTACCAGAGAGAACAAAAGCCTAAAATACTAAGCTATTTGACTCAAAAAGGACTCAAAGCTCCAAGCCTTTGTTGAAAGTGCTTGTTCAGTGTAAAACCATTCCCGTGACTGTTTCTTTTTAATTTTTAATATTTTATTTCAATAGGTTTTTGTGGAATAGGTGGTGTTTGGTGACATGAGTAAGCTCTTTAGTGGTGATTTCTGATATTTTGGTGCACCCATCACTCGAGCAGCGTACACTGTACCCAATGTGTAATTTTTATCCTTTGCCACCCCCACCCTTTCCCCTGAGTCCCCAAATTCCAATGCATTATTCTTATTTGTAAGAGGTCAATAACTCAAATGATTTGATAAAAATCTTTTTGTGTACTCATCTTAGAAACAGAGACTAAAACTTGTTTCCAATGTATTACTTTGCGATGTTTTAAACAATGCCTCAGAAATATTTTATTTGGTGACCATATGGAACCTGACAGTGATTTGCATTTAAGGAGACTTCTTTAAAAACTGTTTGCATATAGAATAATTTAAGGGGGTCAGATTAAAGAGAGTTCCACACTTACGTTACTTCCATCCATTGTTTCAAGCCACAATTCAACCTTAGTTTCTGTTTTAGTTTTCTTTTTTTAATTAATAACACATAGAGCCAACTAGGCATGAGGCACTCTAAGGGAAGCGAAATGGAAAGAAAATGATTCTGCCTTTGAGGAGGTGCAATCTAACTGGGAAGAGAAGTCACAAATAATTGACTTTCTTGCTTGGTGTGTAAAATATGATAAAGCTGTACACATGGTTTATAGACGTGCTGATGGGTGTTGTAATGACCATTAATTCACTAACTCCATTTGGTTTTTAATATTTGGAAAATCATTAGGCAAGCTGCAGATGAGGGGCATATAACAATAGTATTTTGGACTATTAGTTGTGTGGTTCTCAATTTACTCTTTGCTGCTTTTAAAATACTTAGCAACACTGCTAGACCAAACATCAACGTTGTCTCTCTGTTTTTGTTTTTTTAAAGATTGATTTTGGTGTAAGTAATGAGATGGCAAAATTTCAAAGAAGCATACATGGGCTATTTTACCAGGTACATTAGAGTTGAGAACAATGTTGGTAGAAACCATTTTTGAATTAAGTACATTCATTGGTAAGTGTTCTTTTTCTTTTTTTTTTAATTAATAGGTTGGAAACTAGCATTTATAAAGTTAGTTATTTGAGCATTTTTGTGACTATCTGCTACTTTAGGAAGACCCTGTAAAAAGTAGAAAAAATAAGATAGGACAAAACTACATATGTATACATTCTATACATGACTTTGCTTACAAAACTCATTGGATAACTAATGCCAATGACTCACAGGTTTGAAATGAGATCAGTTACTCTATTTTCAACATATTCCATCTGATTACATGGTAAGGCATAGTCAGTGTAACCCTAAGGACAACAGCAGAATCATAGTGTATGTATACTACCTGAATTTATGTCTAGGGACTAGATTTAAAATTATCCAGTATTAATTATTGTGGTCAGTATGGTTTGAACAACCCAGAAAAGCTTTAATAAACTGCAGGAATTCAGTTGCTTTAAACCAACATGAGGGCAAAATGCACAGGCAAAATTTCTAGGACTTATAAAAGGGGACTATCCAAATCTTGTAGTAATAGTATTTGATAAGGAAGAAAAATGCTTTGAATAGGATGGAAAAAGAAGGCAGGTATCACTTTTCTCCTATTACATTCTTGCTTAAATCAAGTTTGTTTGAGAGAATGATTTTTGGGTTGAGATGGATTTTATTTACAGTTGAAATTTTTTAGGATTAAAAAAATGGCCTTTAAAGAAAATACATACTTGATGCTAAGACTAAAACAACAACAGCAACAAATAAATATCTCAATTCTAGTTCAGGTTAATTATTTTTCTAATTATTCATATCATTCAAGTTAATTCATTTTTCTCTAATAAATGATTATTGAGTATCCATGGACTATCTTTCTTAGTTGGGTTTTGGGCTTATTTCCCCTGCAAGATTATTTCTTATGAAAAATGTTTTGAAATTAGCTCTTTGCGATCTATGAACTATCTGGCTTATAATGTAAAAAGCAGCCATATAGGTTAAATAAAGTTTTAGTGTATATATATTTGTATGACTCATTAAGAAGCAATGTAGAATTTTAAGATTTTTTATAGTTAACATCATAATGCTTTAAAAATCTTTGAACTATAGGTCATAAAGATATTCCCTTATACTTACAAAATCTCTAAAACTTTGCTTTTCACATTTAAGTCATGAATTCATATTAATTGATTTTACATATGGAAAATTATCACTGTTTATTAAAGAGAACTTCATTTCCCCAGTGATGTGAAATGCCAGCTCTCTCATATGTTGTTTGGACCTATTTCTGGTCTCCCTAGTCCCACTCTATTGGGCAGTTTGGTTTTCTCTGAAATTATATCACATTGTCTTAATTCATCTAGTAATATAATAAGCTCTGCTTCTGCAATGACGGCAAGTCTACACTCCTTTTTCTTTTTCTTTTATTTAATTTTACTTTAAGTTCTGGGATACATGTACAGAATGTGCAGGTTTATTACATAGGCATACATTTGCCATGGTGGTTTTCTGCACCTATCAACCTGTCATCTAGGTTTTAAGCCCCGCATGCATTAGATATGTGTCCTAATACTCTCCCTCCCCTTACCTCCTAACCCCTGACAGGCCCCAGTGTGTGATGTTCTCCTCCTTGTGTCCATGTGTTCCCATTGTTCAACTCCCACTTATAAGCAAGAACATGTGGTGTTTGGTTTTCTGTTCATGTGTTAGTTTGCTGAGAATGATGGCTTCTAGCTTCATCCATGTCCCTGCAAAGGACATGAACTCATTCTGTTTTGTAGCTGTATTATATGGTGTATATGTGCCACATTTTCTTTATCCAGCCTATCATTGATGGGGATTTGGGTTGGTTCCAAGTCTTTGCTATTGTAAATAGTGCTGCAATAAACACATGTGTGCATGTGTCTTTACAGAAGAATGATTTATAATCCTCTGGGTATATACCCAGTAATGGGATTGTTCGGTCAGATGGTATTTCTGGTTCTAGATCCTTGAGGAATTGCTACACTATCTTCCACAATGGTTGAACTAATTTACACTCCCATCAACAGTGTAAAAACGTTTCTATTTCTCCACATCCTCTACAGCATCTGTTGTTTCCTGACTTTATAATAATCGCCATTCTAAAAGGCCTGAGATGGTATCTCATTGTGGTTTTGACTAACCTTTCTCTAATGACCAGTGATGATGAGCATTTTTTCATATGCTTGTTGGCTGCACAAATGTCTTCTTTTGAGAAGCATCTGTTCATATCCTTCACCCACTTTTTGATGGGGTTTTTTTTTCTTGTAAATTTGTTTAAGTTCCTTGTAGATTCTGGATTTAGACCTTTGTCAGACAGCTAGACTGCAAAAATTTTCTTCCATTCTGTAGGTTACCTGTTCATTCTGATGATAGTTACTTTTGCTCTGCAGAAGCTCTTTAGTTTAATTAGATTCCATTTGTCAATTTTGGCTTTTGTTGCAATTGTTTTTGGTGTTTTAGTCATGAAGTCTTTGCCCATGCCTATGTCCTGAATGGTATTGCCTAGGTTTTCTTCTAAGGTTTTTATGGTTTTGGGTTTTACGTTTAAGTCTTTAATCCATCTTGAGTTAATTTTTGTATAAGGTGTAAGGAAGGGGTCCAGTTTCTGTTTTCTGCATATAGCTAGCCAGTTTTCCCAACACCATTTATTAAATAGGGAAACCCTTCCCCATTGCTTGTTTTTGTCAGGTTTGTCAAATATCGGATGGCTGTAAATGTGTGGTGTTATTTCTGAGGTCTCTGTTCTGTTCCATTGGTCTATATATCTGTTCTGGTACCAGTACCGTGCTGTTTTGGTTACTGTAGCCTTGTAGTATAGTTTGAAGTCAGGTAGCGTGATGCCTCCAGCTTTGTTGTTTTTGCTTAGGATTGTCCTGGCTATATGGGCTGATTTATGGTTCCATATGAAATTTAAGGTAGTTTTTTTCTAACTCTACAAAGAAAGTCAATGGTAGTTAGATGGGAATAGCATTGAATCTATAAATTACTTGGGTAGTGTAGCCATTTTCATGATACTGATTCTTCCTATCCCTGAGCACGAAATTTTTTTCCACTTGTTTGTGTCCTCTCTTATTTCCTTGAGCAGTGGTTTGTAGTTCTCCTTGAAAAGGCCCTTCACATTTCTTGTAAGTTGTATTCCTAGGTGTTTTATTCTCTTTGTAGCAATTGTGAATGGGAATTCACTCATGATTTGGCTCTCTGCTTGTCTGTTGTTGGTGTATAGGAATACCTGTGATATTTGCACATTGATATTGTATCCTGAGACTTTGCTGAAGTTAATCAGCTTAAGGAGTTTTTGTGCTGAGAAGGGGTTTTCTAAATATACAATCATGTCATCTGCAAACAAAGACAATTTGAATTCCTCTCTTCCTATTTGAATACGCTTTATTTCTTTCTCTTGTCTGATTGCCCTGGCTAGAACTTCCAATACTATGTTGAATAGGAGTGGTGAGAGAGGGCATCCTTGTCTTGTGCTGGTTTTCAAAGGGAATGCTTCCAGCTTTTGCCCATTTAGGATGATATTGGCTATGGATTTGTCATAAATAGCTCTTATTACTTTGAGATATGTTCCATCAATACCTAGTTTTTTGAGAGTTTTTAGCATGAAGACATGTTGAATTTTGTCAAAGGCCTTTTCTGCATCTATTGAGATAATCATGTTTTTTTTGTCATTGGTTCTGTTTATGTGATGGGTTACATTTATTGATTTGTGTATGTTGAACCAGCCTTGCATCCCATGGATGAAGCCAACTTAAGCATGGTGGATAAGCTTTTTGATGTGCTGCTGTATTCTGTTTGGCAGTATTTTATTGAGGATTTTTGCATCAATGTTCAACAGGGTTATTGGCCTGAAATTTTCTTTTTTTGTTGTGTCTCTGCCAGATTTTGGTATCAGGATGATGCTGGCCTCATAAAATGAGTTAGGGAGGGGTCCCTCTTTTCTGTTGTTTGGAACAGTTTTAGAAGGAATGGTACCAGGTCCTCTTTGTACTTCTGGTAGAATTCGGCTGTGAATCTGTCTGGTCCTGGGTGTTTTTTGGTTGGTAGGCTATTAATTACTGCCTCAATTTCAGAACTTGTTGTTGGTCTATTCAGGGATTTGACTTCTTTCTGGTTTAGTCTTAAGAGGGTGTGTATGTCTAGGAATTTATCCATTTCTTCTAGAGTCGCTAGTTTATTTGCATAGAGGTGTTTGTAGTATTCTCTGATGATAGTTTGTATTTCTATGGGATCAGTGGTGATATCCCCTTTATCATTTTTTATTGTGTCTATTTGATCCTTCTCTTTTCTTCTTTATTAGTCTAGCCAGCAGTCTGTCTATTTTATTAATCTTTTCAAAAAACCAGCTCCTAGATTCATTCATAGGAGCTGAATTTTGAAGGATTTTTGAAGGATTTTTCGTGGCCGTATCTCCTTCAGTTCTGCTCTGATGTTAGTTATTTCTTGTCTTCTGCTAGCTTTTGAATTTGTTTGCCCTTGCTTCTCCAGTTCTTTTAATTGTGATGTTAGAGTGTCAATTTGAGATCTTTCCAGCTTTCCGATGTGGGCATTTAGTGCTATACATTTCCTTCTTAATACTGCTTTAGCTGCGTCCCAGAGATTCAGGTACACTGTCTCTTTCTTCTCATTAGTTTCAAAGCACTTCTTTATTTTTGCCTTAATTTCATTATTTACCCAGTAGTCATTCAGGAGCAAGTTGTTCAACTTCCATGTGGTTGTGCTGTTTTGAGAGAGTTTCTTAATCCTAAGTTCTAATTTGATTGTACTGTGATCTGAGAAACTGTTATGATTTCCATTCTTTATCATTTGCTAAGGAGTGTTCATTTTTGTTAATTTTTTGTCTCATTGATCTGTCTAATATTGACAGTGGGGTATTAAAATCTCCCACTATTATTGTGTGGGGGTCTAAGTCTCTTTGTAGTCTCTAAGAACTTGCTTTATGAATCTGGGTCCTCCTGTATTGGGTGCATATTTAGGATAGTTAGCTCTTCTTGTTGCATTGATCCCTTTACCATTATGTAATGCCCTTCTTTGTCTTTTTTGATCTTTGTCGTTTTAAAGTCTGTTTTATCAGAGACTAGGAGTGCAATGCTTGCTTTTTTGTTGTTGTTGTTTTCCATTTGCTTGGTAAATATTCCTCTATCCCTTCATTTTGAGCTTATGTGTGTCTTTGCACATAAGATGGGTCTCCTGAATATAACACATCAATGGGTCTTGACTCTTTATCCAATTTGCCAGTCTTTGTTTTTTAACTGGGGCATTTAGCCCATTTACATTTAAGGTTAATATTGTTATGTGTGAATTTGATCCTGTTATCATGATGCTAGCTGGTTATTTTGCACATTAGTTGATGCAGTTTCTTCATAGTGTCATTGGTCTTTTTATTTTGGTGTGTTTTTGCAGTGGCTGGTACCGGTTTTTTCTTTCCATATTTAGTGCTTCCTTCAGGAGCTCCTGTAAGGCAGGCCTGGTGGTGACAAGATCCCTCAGCATTTGCTCATCTGTAAAGGATTTTATTTCTCCTTCACTTATGAAGACTAGTTTGGCTGGATATGAAATTCTCGGTTGAAAATTTGTTTCTTTAAGAATATTGAGGCTGGGCATGGTGGCTCATTCCTGTAATCCTAGCACTTTGGGAGGCCAAGGCAGGCAGATCATTTGAGATCAGGAGTTCAAAACCAGCCTGGCCAACGTGGCGAAACCTCATCTCTACTAAAAATACAAAAATTATCCAAGTGTGGTGGCACACGCCTATAACCCCAGCTACTCTGGAGGCTGAGGCAGGGAGAATTGTTTGAACCCGGGAGGCAGAGGTTGCAATGTGCCAAGATTGCGCCATTGCACTCCAGCCTAGGCAACAGAGCGAGACTCCCTCTCAATAATAAACCAAAAAGAATATTGAATATTGGCCCCCGCTCTCTTCTGGCTTGTAGGGTTTCTGCAGAGAGAGCCACTGTTAGCCTGATGGGCTTCCCTTTGTAGGCAATGTGACCTTTCTCTGGCTGCCCTGCACATTTTTTCCTTCATTTCAACCTTGGAGAATCTGATGATTATTTGTTTTGGGGTTGTTCTTCTTGAGGAGTATCTTAGTGGTGTTCTCCGTATATTTCTTGAATTTGAATGTTGGCCTGTCTTGCTAGGTTGGGGAAGTTCTCCTGGATAATATCCTGAAGTGTGTTTTCCAACTTGGTTGCATTCTCCCTGTCACTTTCAGGTACACCAATCAATCGTAGGTTTGGTCTTTTCACATAGTCCCATATTTCTTGGAGGCTTTGTTCCTTCATTTTCATTATTTTTTCTCTAATCTTGTCTTCACACCTTATTTCAGTAAGCTGATCTTCAATCTGGGATATCCTCTCTTCTGCTTGATCGATTCAGCTATTGATACTTGTGTATGCTTCACAAAGTTCTCGTGCTATGCTTTTCAGTACCATCAGGTCATTTATGTTTCTCTCTAAACTGGTTATTCTAGTTAGCAGTTCCTGTAACCTTTTAACAAATTTCTTAGCTTCCTTGCAGTGGGTGAGAACATGCTCCTTTAGCTCAGAGGAGTCTGTTATTACCCATCATTTGAAGCCTACTTCTTCCAATTCATCAATCTCATTCTCTGTCCAATTTTGCACCCTTACTGGAGAGGAGTTGTGATCCTTTGGAGGAGAAGAGGCATTCTGGTTTTTGAAATTTTCAGCATTTTTGTTCTGGTTTTCCCTCATCTTTGTGGATTTATCTACCTTTGATCTTTGAGGCTGATGATCCTTGGATGGGATTTTTCTGTGGGGGTCCTTTATGTTGATGGTATTGCTTTCTATTTGTTAGTTTCTCTTCTAACAGTCAGGCCTCTCTTCTGCAGGTCTGCTGCAGTTTGCTGGAGGTCCACTCCAGACCCTTTTCACCTGGGCATCACCAGTGGAGGCTGTAGAATAGCAAAGATTTCTGCCTGCACCTTCCTCTGAAAGCTTTGTCCCAAAGGGCCACCAGCCTGATTCCAGCTGGAGCTCTCCTGTATGAGGTGTCTGTCGACCCCTGTTGGGAGGTCTCTCTCAGCCAAGAGGCACAGGGGTCAGGGACCCACTTCAGCAGGCAGTCTGTCCCTTAGCAGAGCTGGTGCACTGTGCTGGGAGAATCCCTCTTGTCAGGATCGGCTGCTCTCTCAGAAGGTACTTTTGCAATGTGGAGCCAGGTACCTGCTGAAGGTATCGTCCTACTCTCCTACAGAAAGTATGGGATAGGGTGTCTATTCTTGCTATTGACATTTCCAAGCAATAGTAACCAGTTCCATTTCTCAGCTTCAGGAGTGTCCTGGAGTCTTAGCTCTGAATCTTCTAATACCATCAGGTCACAGAGCGATGGAGGCTGAGGCTATGGCAGAATCATCTAGGCCTCCTGGAGCAGAGGACACAGGGCAGTGAAACCCTAACCCCGAGCTCCTTTTTTGTGTTTTGTTTTGTTTTGTTTTTGTTTTTGTTTTTTGAGACAGAGTTTCGCTGTTGTTGCCCAGGTTGGAGTGCAATGGGGTGATCTCAGCTCACTGCAACCTCCATCTCCCGGGTTCAAGCAATTCTCCTGCCTCAGCCTCCCAAGTAGCTGGGATTACAGGTGCCCACCACCACGCCTGGCTAATTTTTGTATTTTTAGTAGAGACGGGGTTCCACCATGTTGGCCAGGCTGGTCTCGAAATCCTGACCTCAGGTGATCCACCCGCCTCAGCCTCCCAAATTGCTGGGATTACAGGCATGAGCCAAAGCGCCCGGCCGCTCCTTTTTCTTTATGAGTGTCTTGAATATACTTGACTGTATTCTTCTATAAACATTTTAGAATCAGTTATCAAATTTTACAGCAAATCCTATGGTAATTTTGATTGGGATTGCACTGACTCTTCACATCAATTAGGAAAGAGCTGACATTAAGAATATCTCTTTATTCAAAAATATGTAGTATTTTCATTAATCATTTGGAATATCTTTTAATGCTCACATAATTTTCTCCATATAATTTTGAAATGTTTTTTAGGTATATTCCTAGGATTCTTACAATATTTGTTGCTGTCACAAATGTCACTTATACGAGACTTTTTTTCCTAATTGTTGTTTGATGAGATATAAATACACAAATAATTTTTGCATATTAATCTTATAACAAACCACCTGGCTTTACTTTAATCAATTTCTACAAATTTTAGATAGATTATTTTGTGTTTTCTCCATTATATCTTCTGTGAATAATATGTTTTGTCTGTTCCCTTCACATCCTTAGTTTCCCATGATTTTTCTAGTCTGATGCTGCTAGTTAGACATTCCAACTGAATGTTAATTTGAAACTATTAATTCTTTGCTAAATTTCTATCTTTGAAAGAGATGCTTCTAATATTTCACCATTAACAATAACATTTGCTATAGGCTTTTGGCAGATATCTTTTATCACGTTAAGTTCATTTCCCTTCTTATTTTGCTAAGAATTTTTCTCCTGAATCAGTGTCTGTTTTTTAATCAAATTATTTGGAGAGTTTTTAAAATTTAAAGAGTTTTTATTCTGAATCAGTGTCTATTTTTCCTCAAATAAGTTTTTCTCTCAAGATGATCATATGCTTTTACATCCATTTTCTGTAATTTTATTTGTAATAAATCATTTGTGAATTTCTGGGATAATGATAAATTGCTTTTAGTAGATTGTATAGTTTATAAATTTTTAAATTTAGATTGGCAATATTTTCTTTAAAACTTTTGTTTGTATATTTATGAATGAGAGAGGCTGGCCTGTCATTTTCTTTTTTTTTTTTTTTAACTCTCCTTATCATGTCTATGTATCAAGGTTATACTGGTCTCATTGAATGATTTGGGCAATATCCTCCCCCTCTAGTTTTCCATTATCTGGAAGACTTTATATTAGATTGAAGATATAATATCATCAAAAGTATATTAGAGCTTGCATGTTAAAACTTGGGCCTGGAATTTTTCTTTCTTTAGGCATTGATCAATTTTTATAATAATTTTAGGACTGTTCAGACTTTCTACTTCCTAATTGAAAGTTTGTAGTTCTATTTTTAATAAATTTATCATTTTTTCCTAAGTTCGTACATTTATTGGCAAGCCTCTCTTCTATTCCCTCTTTTCTCTTTTTCTAGGACTCTACTCAGAGTGGTACTTTGGATTGAACATTTTCATTCAATCCTACATGTATATCTCCATTTTCATATTTCTATTCCCCTGGCTCTCTGCTCTTGTTTTGTGGGTAATTTTTCAGATATATCTTTACTGTTAACTCTTTGGCTATGCTTTTTCTGCTATTTAACCTGTTTAATTAGTTTTTACTTCATTTCAGCCATTAAATTTTCAATATCTAGAAGTTCCATTTGGTTGCTTTTCTAGAATTTCCTGCTCATTTATGAAAGTCTCTTGTGGCTTGGTCCATCAGTGAATTCAGCTTTTTTTTTTTTATACATTGGCTATTCTACATTTTGCGTCTGACAATTTAATTATCTTAAGGTTTTTATGGGCTAAATCTTTTTTTTCTCTTTTTTCTGCTGCCTCATTCATGATATCTTGTCTCCTTATTTGCTTGATAGTATTTAGAAACTTATGATTGACTTTAGTCTGGGAATAGTGTGGCCTTACATTGGGAATGCTTTTCTTCAGCTTTTGTTTCTGTTAAGGGTCTCTGGAGTATCACAGATCTAGTTGGACCTTTTAGGGTATCCTAGCTTAAGATAGGCATTTCAGCTTCAGCTTCCTTACTTCACTGTCAGCCAAAAGTTTAAGGTATAATTGCAGTAATATTAAGGGCACCTGCTCATATTAAGGGCACCTGCTCATAGTAAAGCCACCTGCTTGAGGAGCAATCGCATTTCTCTCACTTGCTTACCTCTCACAGCACGCACTTTCAACTACTACTCAAGTCCTTTTGGGAGAGGGATAACAGATTTCCCCTGCTTCCTGGAGCTGAGCATGCACTGAGAAATATGTTATTCATCATTTAGTTATGTTTTTGTAGGAGACCGTCTCAGAGAATTCAGTCTCCAGCATTGCCAGATGTAGTTACTCTTGGATGATGGTTGCACTAGTGTGGAATTCCTTCAGCTGTTTGAAGATGTTATACCAATATTTTCTAGCATTTATTTATTTTTGTTAAAAAGTTTACTGCCAATGCAGTTACTATTCTTTGGTAAGTAACTGTTTTTACTTTATGGTAACTTTTCAAATTTGTATTTTACCATGTCATTTCTAAGGTGAACTTTAAAAACTCCAGCCTTGGAATTGGATATCCTTTTGATTTTACATCTCCTCTCTTCATTTTGAAAAAAAAAATCAGTCATTATCTCTTCTGTCATTACTTCTCTTCCCTTTTTTGGCAGGGAAAACAAGTGGTGGAGAAAGTCCTATTCAATCTATCTTGTAAATTTTCAACTATTTCCTGTGTCTGCAAACTGTCTTCTTTCTTCTCTTTCTTCCTTCATCCCTCTCTTTCTCCCCTCCTTTCCTTCTTCTTTTTTTCCTTTCTTCCTTTCCTTCTTTTCTTTCTAAATATTTTAACCTCTGCCTTCTGTTTGTAGTGAATACTCTATTTTTAAAATTCTAAAAATATGCCACTTTTTATTGTAAACTGACAATTTATAATTGTGTAAATTTATGGGTTACAAAGTTATATCATAATCTATGGATAAAATGTCGAATAATTAATTAAATCAAGTTAGTTAACATACCCATCACTTTAAATACTTAACATTTTGACGTTAAGAACATTCCAAATTTACTCTTGTAGCAATTTTGAAATGTGTGATACTTTATTATTAATCATATTCACCACACTGTGCAACAGAACTTAGAAAAAAGTATAAGGCATATTCTTCCTAGGATTCTATACACTTCGATCATTATTTAAATTGTTTTTTTTTTTTTTTTTGAGACAGAGTTTCGCTCTTGTTGCCCAGGCTGGAGTGCAATGGCATGATCTCTGCTCACTGCAACCTCCACCTCCCAGGTTCCAGTGATTCTCCTGCCTCAGCCTGCCAAGTAGCTGGGATTACAGGCGCATGCCACCACACCCGGCTAATTTTTGTATTTTTAGTAGAGATGGGGTTTCATCATATTGGACAGGCTGGTCTTGAACTCCTGACCTCAGGTGATCCACCTGCCTTGGCCTCCCAAAGTGCTGGGATTACAGGTGTGAGCCATTGTGCCTGGCCTAAAATTTTTAAATGAGACAAAACATCAATTTCAAAACAGCATCAGAAAGTGAGCATATTTAACCATACTCAGCTTATAACAGAGCAAATGGGTAAATGGAAGAATATATCATGCTACTGAATGTTTAATGAACTGGAAACAATAGAAAGTTGGTTGAAGAAAGGCAGAGGAACTTTGTCTTATAAGAGGCAGAACCTAGGGGCTCCATAGTCACCTGACATCTGTTCAGAGTTTTATCTATGGTTAGAAATGTACGTGTTAGGAACTCCAGGATTCTTTTGGATTCTTTTTTTAAGGTCCTGGTCAACCAAGGACACAACGTAACACTTGTGAGTTACTCTCTGTACTAAGCTGTCATCTGCATAGGTTTCTTTGTGTGTCCCCGGTAATCATTCTAATATTGGATCCTTAACAATCCTTACAGCTGCTCCATACTTCTGCCCTAATTTCCCAATTTCAGCCATTACACAATCAGTTATACAAGGGATACACTTGGCATACAGACAGTCCATCATTGACTACACTAAGTCCAGTTTGGTTTTAATGGAAAATTTGATAAAGTTGGTGTCAAACAGGATGTGGTAAGGTGGGCCCAGCTGTGTATTATATTGGAAAAATAACCAGGAAGGGTGTTGAGGAACTTTTCTTTTCTTTAGCATGCTGGGATACTATTTTTCTTTCTTTTCACGTTTTAGTCTATCCTATTCTTTAAGCCTCTGATCTCTGAGACTAAGCATTCACTTCATGGTCGCATACTTCCTGTTTTATTTTGCTTCCCCATGTTCATGCCACACTCTCGTTTCTCCTATTATTATCTTTAAATTGAATTATTCCTTTATTCAACAGTACTATATATGGCTTATTAATTTTAATTTCAATGATCATATTCTCAATTTCCAAAAATATTGATTGGTGTATTTTTATATCTACCTGTTCACATTTTGTAATATCTAGTTTTGGTTTGGTTTGGTTGGCTGGTTTGCCTATTTGTAATGTTAGTTATCTTCATGTATTTTGAAGTTTAATTTTACATCCTTTTCAATGACACACTGTGGTTTTTCCTCTCTCTTTCCTTATCTTTATTGGCTAATAGTTTTGCATTATCTGCTGGATCCCTTTCCATAAAGAGATCTGTTCTTCTTTGATATAATTACCTCTGGAAATATCTCATTACACATCGGTTAACTTCCTTTCATAGGTTATCTAAGTGTTGCAATATGATATAGACATAATGACAATATGATTGTCTGACAGTAGTTGGTTCCTATCACAGCTCCAATAGCAGAGGGACCGAGAAAGCTTCTAGATTTTATTTTCTCTCTAAAAACAAAATATCACTTCAAATATGAAAGAAGAATTAGATCAACACCATATAATTCTTATTCAACCTTACTCCATACAAGAGGCATAAAGTACTTGGTACACAGGTCTTCACTTATTCTTCTTGTGATGATGGCAGATTTTTACTAAACTTTGTAGTATCTATCTGAGCCAAGATACAGCTGCAGAATTCTCCACAAGGAGCTCTTACCAAGAGAGAAGGGATGATATTGCAGAAAATCTGTGATTTTAGCTCTGAACTCATTACTTTCACCTTTTTCTAATATGCCAAATTTACTTATTTTATTTTTTGAGACAGAGCCCAGGCGGGAATGCACTGGCACAATTTCGGCTTACTGCAACCTCTGCCTCCCAAGCTCAGGCAATCTTCCCGCCTCAGCCTCCCATGTAGCTGAGTCTACAGCCATGCACCACCATGCCTGGCTAATTTTTGTATTTTTAGTAGCAATGGGGTTTCACCATGTTGGCCAGGCTTGTCTCAAACTTCTGACCTCAGGTGACCTGACCGTCTTGGCCTCCCAAATTGCTGGGGTTACAGGCATGAGCCACTGTGCCCGGCCCATGCTGCATTTACTTATTGCTAATATGCACCAGTAAATAAATGTATCCATAGATCCAGGGAAGTGTTAATGTCTCATATGACTTAATTTTTGATGTGTCATTTTTCTTAAACACACTAGGATATAGAATAAGTAATTTTACAGAATAAATTCTATTTGAGCGGCAATAATTATCAACTGGAAGAAAAGAATACGGACAAGAAATGGGTTGGCAGAATAACAGCATAAAAGCACTTGAGAGAACATTTCAAATTGTATTCTCTAGGTTGTGAATATGTGTGTGGGGAGTGGGTGTGATGAGAAAACAACTTCATGATAAAATAAAAATCTAGATTAAATAAAGCTAAGAATACTTTTTTTTTCTGAAAAGAATTCTGAAGAGAAGGAAATGATAAGCATTATTTCCCAAAGGTCATCATCCATGGAACTCTTTTCTTTCTTAGGAATTTTATCAGCTTCTCTATTGTAGGACTGATATGCCTCACTATATTGTACTAGCCAGCATCCTTTCTGACTGCCAGACAATCACTTTATTAGTTTCTGCCTGTGCCATACCAGTTGTTAAGTATTTTGAAAATCACCTTGTATAGGATGCATTTTAGAAAATTCCATTTGAGGCTGGGCGAGGCGGCTCACGCCTGTAATCTCAACGCTTTGGGAGGCCGAGGCGGGCAGATCACGAGGTCAGGAAATTGAGACCATCCTGGCTAACTAGGTGAAACCCTGTCTCTACTAAAAATACAAAAAAAAAAAAAAAAAAAAAAAAATTAGCTGGGCGTGGTGGCGGGCGCCTGTAGTCCCAGCTACTCCAGAGGCTGAGGCAGGAGAAGGGCGTGAACCCGGGAGGCGGAGCTTGCAGTGAGCCAAGATCCTGCCACTGCACTCCAGCCTGGGCGACACAGCGGGATTCCGTCTCAAAAAAAAAGAAAATTCCATTTGAGAGGTGATGTCATTGATGAGTCACAGATCACAGATAAAATAGGATTGGGAACATTTATCATATTTGTTTATTTTTCTTGGTTTCAGATTTTGTATTCTATGCAAAATAAATTTCAATTTGCATATTAATTACTATGTACCATGTAAAGTACCAATGTAGGCATTATGATGTAAAAACACATTTATTTAAAACACAAGTAATTCATGTCCAATAGAAAAATATTGGAAAGCACAGATAAACAAAAATTTAAAAAGATAAAATTAAGAACCCAATTTTGGAGCTTTCCTCCCTATTCTTCCTGCCAAGTACAGCTAAAACCCCTGAACATTATGTATAAAAAACAGAAGAAGGCTTTGAAAGGTAGAAAGAGGAAAGTAGACCAGCTAAGAATCTTAAGACCAAGAAATAACATACTGGAGAGTTCCTTGGGTTTTCTTTTTGCCTCATATATCCCAGACTTGGAGCTGAAGAAGCTAGCAACGCGAAACACCCAGGGCAGCGATGTAACCAATGAAGATTCAAAAGGATGACTTATTCTTTTTAATTACTCAAAAACACTGCAATTTCACAAATTTTTTTTTGAAAAGATTCCTTCTCTTTTAAAAGTAATCAGTAAATTCTCTATTGCTTAAGTCAATTCATATAGGGTATTAGTTTCCTATTACTGTTACAAATTACCACAAAATGTGTGGCCTAAAACAACACAAATATATCTTACATCCTGGAGGTCAGAGGTCTGAAATGAATTGGCAAAGCCGCATTTCGTCTCTCTAGGGGAGAATCCATTTCCTGGCCTTTTTTCAGCTTCTAGAAGCCATCTGAGTTTTTTGGTTCATCTCTTTTTCTCTCCCAGTCTCTTTTATACACCACCCGCTCTGTTTTCATTACCAGATCCCTTTCTCTGACTCTAACTCTCCTGCTTCTCTCTTATAAGGTCACTTGTGATGACATTGGGATTGCCCAGGTAATAATCTAGTTAAATCTCCCATTTTAGGGTCCTTCACCTAATCATCTCTGCAAAGTCCCTTTTGTCATATAATGTATCATATTCACAGTTCCTGGGGTTTAGAATGTGAATCTCATTTCAGAGCCATTACTTTACCTATCAAATATGGCATCTGCTTTCCTTGGATTCTATAATACTATATTGTTAAATTTTATATTTCTTAAGTGTCTGGCTATTTCTTTACAAATTCCCTTTCAGGTTTTACTCTATGCTCTTTCCTTAATTATTGGGGCTTCTCGGGTTTTATTCTTAGTAATTGGGATCAATCCCAAAGTAAATCCTAAAAATTACCATTGTATTTCTTATCCTGTGCAATCAAGATAATTCCCTCAGTGGATTATAAAAATCTCTATTATATTCCTGACTCTGCTATTGAATTTTTACACAAGTAATCCATAGACGTCTCACATATAACATGTCTCAGACTGAAAGCATGTTTGCGCCTTCAAAGGTGCACTCTTTTACCCATTCTTTTAATGTCATTTCCACGCACCCTTTGCCTAAGTCAAAGTCATCTTTACTTCCTCCATCTCCTTCCCTTCCCCAAATCATTAGGGACCTGAAAAGCACATTAAATTGAATTTCTTTATAAATCTTTCTCCATATGCACCAACACTCCTCAATCTAGTCCAGCTTTGTCTTTTCTCTGTATTTTGGCAACAGACTTCTAAATGGTCTTAAATCCAGGATGACTCCCTTCAAATTCATTCTCTGTATTGAAGCTGGACTGGCAGTGAAACAAGCAGCTATGCCCTCTTTGTAAACCACAAATCTAATCATGCCACATTCCTATCTAAAATCATCCAGTGACCCTTAATTGATGCTAGGATAAAAACAAAACCATTTTTTACAACATAGTATGAAAGCTCCATGTCTTAGCCTGTTTTCTGCTGTTATAAGAGAATTAACACAGACTAGACAATTTCTTAAATAAAAAGAGATTGAGCTCATAGTTCTAGAAGCTGGCGAATTGAAGATTGAGGGACTGCATCTGGTAAAGGTCTTCTTGCTGTGTCATAACGTGGTAGAAGGTATCACTTGGCAAGAAAAAATGCATGCGAGACAGAAAATGGGGGTCAAACTTACCCTTTTACAGAGAGACTACTCTCCAGATAATAGCATAATTTGTTCATGAAGGCATGTTCCTTATGCTTAATCACTTCTTTAAAAATCCTACTTTTTAATACTGTCACAATGGCAATTAAATTTCTACATAAGTTCTGGAGGGGACATTCAAACCACAGTACTCTTGTGTATTGAGGCCACTGGTTTCCACTCTAGCTTCATTCCTCATTGTATTCTTTCACTTCCTTAGATGCTCTATTCACTCTCTCATTCTCTCATTCTCCCTTTTCTCCTCCTGACTCTCCCGTATACTGTTCATGCTACTCTTTTTGTCTAGAAGCTATTTTTCTCACCTTCTCATCTGGCTAACTGCTATTCTCTTTTCAGATTGCCAACTCTTCCAGGAAGCCTTTTCTGGCTGTGAATTCAGGTCAAATGTACTTTCCTAATGTCTCCTTTAACACTCCTCTTCGTCTCAAATTACCTGTTGCCCCTTTTTATGCCCATGATTAGCACTAGACTGTAAACACCATGAGGACAGGCATAGCATTTATGTAATAGGTATTCATTAATTGTTTGATGAAAGAAGAAAGAAGAAATTATTTTATGAAATACAAATTGGATGTGAAGGATTGTAAATTTTTTTTTTTTTGCAAAATAGAAATACCTTTTAGGTGAAGTAGCTCATGTTTTCTTAACAAGAGAGGAAAGGAGAAAGAGAGCCATGATAGTTTTTAATATCTATCAAGCATATGCTCGAATTAATACTTTAACTCTCAAGAGAAGATAAACTTTAGTTTTAATTCAAACATATTACTGGTAAGTTAATGTTTGGATATTTTAACACTGATATTTTTAACTGTTTAATGTCTTTATCATGAACCTTTACTATAATAAAAGTAAATAAACACACAAAATCTCACACTGTTTTTAGAGTTGACAAACATCATTTTGAATTGCTGACTGTTATTGTAACTACATGTAAACTAGAAATGAAACACTTGCTGAACTTAATATTGATCGAGTTCCATAAGATTAGGGCCATGAAAGCAAAGCCATTGATGTTTTAATGACAATAATTAGAAAAAGTTTAGGCTCAGATTTTGCATCTTCATTTCAGTAGCGTCCTTCTGTAAGTCTTAAACACATCTTAAATTGGACTTTAAGAATTATAAGCTAAATGCAAGAGTTCTAATTGTCTGAAGGTCGTTTGTATGTTAAAACTGCTAAACTCTAAACATCTATGTGCTTTGGTGCCCCGTTTTCTTTGATTTGGAGTTTAGGATGAGAGACGTTGAGCTCCAAACTCAGACTAAGAAACTATAAGAAATATGCTTCAATGAAGAAGCTGTTCAAAAATGGTAATTATTCCTGAAACTCTGTAACAAAAAAAAGTTTTACAGATTATTTATTCAATTGCCTTCTCGAATCAGAAAGTTTTTTATTTTATTTTTCCTCTCTAACTGTTATAGAGTAAGATTGTTTCCTTGAGGCAAGAAAGAAATGCAGAAGTCTTGACAAACAAAAGAAGAGATTGCCTTAGGGAAGGGGACTACAGTGAACACTGAGAACTTCTTCCCACGCTAAGACAATCTTTACAGAGCAAGACTCCGTCTCAAAAAAAAAAAAAAAAGTAAGCATAAGAAGGCAAAAGGTGGTGTGACTCACTAGCTTTTGACTATATAATTGAACATTAAATCTTAAATTATTTGGTCATTCGAAAAATGCTTATATATGCTAAATGGGTAATGTTAATAATACTACCCTGCTGTTGATAAAGATCATCCATCCTTAAAATTTTTTTAATAAGCTCACAAGCCAGAGTTGCTCAAGTTTAGGAAACTGAAGGATAACACACAGTAATTATAAGTAAAAGTAAGAAGGAGCTATAGAGAGAAATCCAGCATACCAAGGGATCTTTAAAATGAAAGAAATAATAAAGCCCAGCTTAGTAGTATAGGAAAGCCATTCATTTTTAATCAAAATCTGTATTACCAATTTGGGAAAGTAACTTTTATTTCTAAAGAATCAGTTTATTCTTCTGTAAAAGAAGCTTCTGTCTGGGGAGTCAGTGATTATGACAATTTCCTATTTTAGTGGGTATTGTATTTTTCTGACATGTTCTGAGTAAAAATATCAAAGGGACTAAAAATATCAAGGAGAAACCCCATGAGCAATGGGGTTTCTCTGTAAACATCTGCTGCATTCCAGTGGTGATAATCAAGGACATCAGTTCTCACGTATTTACTTTCTCATTGTGAGAAAGAAATGAAATTAGTGATAGCCCATATTAGCAAATGTGTATAATCCCAGCTTTTATCGACAGCCCAACTTCAATACCTGGGTGTGTGATTATTTTGCATGTAAACAGATGTTAGGATGGAAAAAAAAATAAGAACTACTGATGTACAGGGATAGGAAGTAGAAAAGTAAATGCTTAGAGATGTCTAGATATTAAATAATTAAGTATAAAAACATTAAATCGAGTCCCATTTGATGATATTTTAGTTAAATATCAAAGTTTTTTTCATAACTTGAAATGCTCAGGTCAAATCTCTTTAAAATGTCATGGATGACAGCTTTATAAAACTGTGTGAACCCATCATCCTCATGAAATGTTAAACATTGATGGTTCTAAAGAAAGTAAATGCAGATCTCTTGAATTTAATAGAAAATTTTTCTAGGTTTTTTAAACTGAATATATCACCATATTGAGGCCAAATATTCTTAAAATGAAAGGAAATAGCTATGTCAATTTATCTCTGAAAAGAAAATTATTTGGTAAATTAAGATAGATGTAAAAAATGGGTGAATAAAGAGTTAGATACTTAATTGTGATAAAAAATATTGGGAAGAAGAATTGAGGATTCAAAGGAGAGTGGATAGCTGTGGATATTAACAGCTTCTCAAATTGCGTAGTATTATTGACAAAACATGAGTGATCATGTGACCACATGTTTGGCAGCCATGAGACCAATACATTTCTTAAAACTAAGAATATAAAAAAAGAAAGTTTTCATATTTTTATCATTTTAATTAAGCCACTCTAGCTTGATATATCTCTGTGATTTTCCGATTTTCCTCTTTGTAATTGTGTGGAGTGCCTTTGATTTTGAACTATGAAACCCACTTGAAGATTTTAACATGTTTTTGTCTTGTCCTTCTCTTCAAGAATAGTCTTAGAGATGTTTTCAAAACACATAAATCAAAGACCTCGGATAAAATCTATCTCACACCTTCTCTTTGATCCTATTTTATATGTCCTTGAATGCTTTTGCTCCTTTCATAAAGTGAACAGAGTTTCAATTTTGCATTGCTGCTTTTCCAATCTGACTGTCAAAGATATAAAACTAATTCTTTCCATTTCACTGAAAGTGACATTACCCTGTTCTTTCCCTTTCTCCTTATTAAACAAACATCGCTGAATCATTAAGTTCTGTTGCACGTTAATATTAATTAGGGATATAGCCTTACTTATGAAAATGGTGAAAATTCTAAACTATTTAAGAAATAAAGAATAAAGATGCCACCCTTGAAGGGCATTGAGGTTTTCAGCATCATAACAATTTCAAACTTCTTAATATACTGTAGTTAATTAAGTCATCAACTAGACATATCAGGTTTATTGCTCTTTTGGATTAAAATAAATTAAAGCAGAATGGAAACACAACTTAATTGGCCTTAGATAAGTTGTTATATTGTTACTACAATAGTTCTCTTGGATTTAGTAATCATAATTATGCAAATCTTAATTAGGTAATTATTGTTGTGCAGTTTTTCTTGACTTAAGGAGGAAAATCCATTGGCACAATCAACCGTATCATGCTGTGTCAGAAACTTTAAATCAGAAAATTTTTTAGAATAAGTTGTGGAGTGCTTTATTATTTACTGGATATAATTCCCTAAGCAACTAAGAGAGAAAAAGTTTGAAAATACTCCTTGATTCAATATATATTCTCTTTTGTAGCTGCCAGTATGCTGCTCTGATTTGTCAGAATGAGACTGATGGAGGGGAGAAGTCATCATGCATGGGTGATTTTCCACCAGAGTAGACACTATGTAAAAGAGGCTCATGGATTCTTGGTTCCACCAAGAATAAATTTTGAACAGAGTTTTAATACTTTTATGTTTCTTAGCCCATAATAGATTGAGTTCAGCCATTTAATTTCTACTTCTGATTTACAGCAATCATGGAAAGAGGAGAAACTATGTGTTTCTAGTGTAACACATTACATGCATTTGAGGAAATTTATGTACACTGCATTCTGCAAAATGAAAGAATGTTCATTTTGAGAAAAATAAAGAGTTAAATAAAACAAAAAGTTTTAACCAAAGTACTAACAAAAACAATGAGAGGTATTTCAAGAGATAACTTGAATAATCCAGAAAGGCAGCTGAGCATGGCTAAAGATAGAACAGAATGGCTTGTGGTATCTGGCCAGTACAGATGGAAGTAGATCTCTGAGCCAGTACAGCTTTCATTAAGAAGTAATCAGAGGAAGAACAGCCTGCTCTGAGGTTGAACTTTGCAAAGCTGGGAATGTTCCTTCTTTGAAGGAGATCTTAGTTTAGGCATTCATTTTTATTTTATTTTTTATAGAGTTAATGAACCAGTCTTACAGTCTTCCTTTAGCCAATGAGTTAAAGAAATCTTTGCATAAGTTTATTCAAATCAGAGGTTCCACCAAGATATCCCTGTAAATGCACCTTCCAGAGCCAATCTGTGTGTAGGCATGGAAGCAAACATCCTCTCTTGGCTTCTGCAGCAAATTCCAAGTGGCAATGGAACTTTACCTTCGCTGACTCTTTTGTTTCTTTTTTCCCGTGGATTCTGTGCTTTTGTTTTTGTTTCTGGTTTTGGTTTTTATATAACTCAGAAGTTATTTCCTAATGTGCCAGAAATGTTTGTGAATTTGGTTTTATAGCCTATTTGATCATCCTTTTTAGGTGGAGACCTATTCTGTTGGGTTAGAGATGACAGAAAATCTTATTTGTCGGTTGGTTTGTTTGTTCAAGAATACACTGACCTTCTACAAGAAAGGAGAGCTCTTTGACACCTGGAAATGTGAGTTTTTTGTTTTCTATTTATTTTAAACCATGACTAAGGGTATAGAACTAAAGCTGCCAGCTACATGTCTGTGTAGCTGTAATTATCTTATAAGTCTAAGATCTTAATATAAGTCTAAGATATTAAAATTAATGTCTTATAAAATTAATCGTATAATTAAGTATAATTTAGTTAATTTTAATATTAGACTTATTAACTCTTGTTATAGATAATCTTTTAATACTTGTATAATATCTAAGCAAGATAGATTATTGAAAATTGGTTGCCGGGCACAGTGGCTCATGCCTGTAATCCCAGCACTTTGGGAGGCCAAGGCGGGTGGATCACCTGAGGTCGGGAGTTCAAGACCAGCCTGACCAACATGGAGAAACCCTGTCTCTACTAAAAAATACAAAATTAGCCGGGCGTGGTGGCACATGCCTGTAATCCCAGCTACTAGGGAGGTTGAGGCAGGAGAATCGCTTGAACCTGGGAGGCGGAGGTTGCGGTGAGCCGAGATTGCACCATTGCACTCCAGCCTGGACAACAAGAGTGAAACTCCATCTCAAAAAAAAAAAAGAAAAAAAAGAAAATTGGTCACCATGCATGGTTTTAATAAAAATATACATACATATTTAAATACATATATACATGCATGTATATATCTTAAATATATATACATATATGTACACACCCTTGTGTTTCATAAGTTTACAGAAGCTTGGGACAGCTCTGAATGGCAACACGGTCCTGAGATATGTGATTACCTGGGACTTTCATTGGACCTGCATTTCAGCTCTACTCTCCTCACTGCCCTATGCTGCTTTGACCCTAAAAGTGAAGCCAGCTTGGCCAGGTGCAGTGACTCACACCTGTAATCCCAGCACTTTGGGAGGCCGAGGTGGGCAAATCAAGAAGTCAGGAAATCGAGACCACCCTGGCCAACATTGTGAAACACCATCTCTACTAAAACACAAAAAAATTAGCCAGGTGTGGTGGCACGCACCTGTAGTCCCAGCTACTCGGGAGGCTGAGGCAGGGGAATCACTTGAACCCGTGAGGAGGAAATTGCAGCGAGCCAAGATCGCGCCACTGCACCCCAGCCTGGGCGACAGAGAGAGACTCCATCTCAAAAACAAAACAAAACAAAACAAAAAAAACAAAAAGTGAAGCCAACTCAATTGTCTCATAGAACTGATCTTTACGGTGTTTTTAAATAAACATAGAAATTGGCCCTCCCAGTCTTAAAACTTCAAAAACTTACATTTGTCTTACCTCAGTTCCTTTCTCAGGAATCCAATCATCAAGGCTCCCAGATAGTATCAATGAACGGAAACTTACCAGATCACGATATCTGGACAATGAGATGTCAGATCCCCCTCATCCATCCTGATTACCTAACTGACTACCTGCTTCCTGTTGGCCAACTACTCTTCCTTACCCCTCCCTAATTCTTGTTTTCCCACAAATGGTTACATTTCTGTCCTGCTATAGAAGCCCTTAATTTTAATTGGTCGAGGAGATGGATTTGAGACTGATTTTTTGCTCTCCTTGGCTGTTGCACCTGAATAGCCTTTTTCCCTGGCAATACTTTTTGTCTCAGTGATTGGCTTTCTGTGCAGTGAGCAATGGGACCAAACTTCTGGTGTTTTGGTAACAAATTTTGGTTTCCTGACTGTGAATGCATTGCTTGTGACTCAGCTGCCATGAGCTGGGAGAGTTTCAAAAGCCCTCTAAGCAGCTACCTGACCATTTTGGCCAGAGGTGGATTTTCGTCTCTCCCCATTTGGGCCCACTTCTGCCAACCCCAACCATGTTCCTGATTGCCTAGGAAGAACAGCCTTTGAAATTTGACGTCTATGTACAGAAAGGTGAGTGTCTTTTATGGGTACTAGACAGTGGGAATGGTTCCTCTCCATTTGGGAAATCCCAAAGGCATATCAGTTTGCAGGTTAAACAAGCCAAACTGATGGAGAGAGGATAATACCTTGACTGATTCAGTTTGAACACTCTTGGGGCTTGTTCATTGCTACAGAAGTTGGATTGTGTTTTGGTGATTGTTTGCTTGTGTATGTCTATGTAGTTATGGGATGTCAGGGTTTGATCCCAGAGTGCAGCCCACATGGGTGCATTCTTTGGGTTAGTCTGTATGTAGTTGTGGGTTGACAGAGCAGGGGAAATTCTACAGCCATACCACTCTGAGTGTGGCTGATCTTGTCTGATCGCGATGTCTTTGCATTGTAGTGCTGTCTTACAATTGAATTCATTTTGCTGTTGAATGGGAAAGCAGGATGGAGGTCCATGTATGTATGCTTTTATGCTGCTGCTCTGAACAGGGTTGGGCCTGATTAGTACTGTGATGCTCTTCTGTGGTGCTGTTTGGCCCCAGTGTTCTTTGGAATCCGGGGAATTTTGGCCTTTAAAAGTTAAACTGCCATGGGAACTGATTTACCCAGTTTTAGTTCATAGCCTTCATTGTATTATCTATCAGGGCAAAAAAGTTAGCCGTGTGAACATGTTCGTAAACCAGTGAGTTTGTATTGCTATCTCATGCCTAGAATTCTAAAGTAAAAACTATTGGGTCTTTGTTTGTATATATGTATATGGGTCTAAATGTTATGTGTTGTTTTTACAGGGTACAGATTGGCTCATAAATAAAAGAGCACTCATAAATTAAGTGAATATGTCCAAGCATTTTTCAAGTTCATGTGACTTGAGTAAATAGTCAATTAAAAAGATGGCTTTAAAATTATTGGTAAAATAAAAGTAGAAATGTCTTCAGAATTGTCAGCATACATTTTTGTCTGGGTTTTATATTTGTCTTTATTAGATATTTTGAGGTGTCAAGATTTGGTACAGAAGGTTATAAAACTGTAAACCCAGCCAAAGTAAAATAATCTATGTTTGTGTGATTCGTTTGACAAATAAGTCTAATTTAATGTTGTTTTAATGAAAACAGCTGAATCTTCTGAGTTACTAGGGAAAATGCCCATATATTTAATTTTAAAGTCCTCACTTAGGTGAGCACCTCATATTCACAGGGTATAAAAAGTGGTTAACAAGGAAATGACTTAAAATGATTATTAACTTTGTTTAATATCTCAGTTTTCAGAAGTAAGCTAAATAAACTGTTAAAAAATGAAAGAATTGAAAACATGTAAATGGGATAAATGCTTGTAAGTGAACTTTTTGTGTAGTTTAAAATCTTAAAATTATTTTTAATGCTCATTGAATGTTTGGGTCACTTCCAATTAAAAAAGGGTTGTGATATGGGGAAACAGGTTTTTAAAAAGTGTGAACTGTTCTCATCTATAAAATGCTAGCTAATATCTAATAAATAGTTCAGAATTTCTTGCCTCCTAGTTTTCATTAACATTTAAGATTAGCAAGAATAAGAATTCTAGTTAATATAAAATTCTGTATATAAAATGTGCCAAAGAAGATACGTTTTTATTGAGAAAAATAGTAATTTTGTCGAATTCAGAAGTTACCTAAAGGTTAATTCTAATTATAGACTTGGAAAGCTTATTTATGAAATCAGGAAGAAAGGAACCAGTAAGTATGGGAGAGAGACAGGAGAAAGTTATGGATATGAAGATACATTTTTGTTAAGGAAGGTTAAAGAAAATATTTTCGTATGAGAAAGAATCTTGTATGGTAAATTTTTGTACTATAGTAAAATGACTTGTTATTTAAAAAGAAAATTTAGGACAAAACAGAAAGTGTAAGCATGTCATATGAATTTTTTTTTTTCTGTTTCTCTATCACCTTCATGTACATACAGAGAAAATAGAAGGTTAAAAAGACTAGGGCTGGGCACAGTGGCTCACGCCTGCAATCCCAGCACTTTGGGAGGCAGAGGTGGGCAGATCATGAGGTCAGGAGATCGAGACCATCCTGGCTAACACAGTGAAACCCCGTCTCTACTAAAAATACAAAAAATTAGCCGGGCGTGGTGGCCGGCGCCGGTAGTCCCAGCTACTTGGGAGGCTGAGGCAGGAGAATGGCGTGAACCCGGGAGGCGGAGCTTGCAGTGAGCCGAGATGGCGCTACTGCACTCCAGCCTAGGTGACAGAGCGAGACTCCGTCTCAACAAACAAACAAAAAAACAAAAAGATTAGATAGTAGACTATTCTTTAAAACCTGATAGAAAATTAGAGAAATCTGGCAAATTAACATTTCCCGTAGATAAAGCTCTTAGTCTTGATGAAGGTAAAGTAAGAAATATTGTAAAGAAATAAATTAACAGTTTGACAATTCTTTTTTTAACATGAAGCCAGATTTAGCATGCTTTTAGATTGCTTTATCTACAAAGCAGTACAAGCAAATTTCACATAAATGTTTATATTGCTTTGTAGATAGTACTAACACCAAGGTACTTACTAGTCATGTGCCTGAAGTGAATTTTTTTTTTTTTTTTTTTTTTTGAGACAGAGTCTTGCTCTGTCACCCAGGCTGGAGTGCAGTGGTATGATCTCAGCTCACTGCAGCCTCCACCTCCCAGGTTCAAGCAATTCTCGTGCCTCAGCCTCCTGAGTAGCTGGGACCACAGGCACACACCACCATGCTCGGCTGATTTTTGTATTTTTGGTAGAGATAGGGTTTCACTACGTTGACCAGGCTTGTCTCAAACTCCTGATCTCAAGTGATCCTCCTGTCTCGACTTCCCAAAGTGCTGGGATTACAGGCATGAGCCACTGTGCCTGGCCTGAAGTGAATTTCTTAATGGCATGAAATGTATAGTGGTATTGGTGGACATTAAGACATTAATTTGTGTACCAGGAACAAAATATTGTGTGTGTGTGTGTGTGTGTGTGTGTGTGTGTGTGTGTGTGTGTGTGTGTTTGTAGGCTCTGGGTAACACCATAACTTCCAATGTTAAATTGAGTAAGAGAAAAATTTAGAGTGGATTTTCTGTTTATGTTTCTCCTTTTAATTTTCATTTATTTGCTGTTTGTTCTCCTTCGGGTTTCACCTATACATACATATATATATAAAGCCACCGACGTTTTTAGTTTCTAATGGAAGGCTTTTATTTGGTTCTATAGTAGTTATTTTGTTTCGTATGCATTTCCAACAATTCATCATTTGCTCTATTTATCTAAAATTCCTAAGCTACCTTTGCCATGCCTCCAAAAAAAGATAGAGCACACCAGCCATTTAAAATTGGATTGGTTTTGCTTACTTCTAATGATCTAGAGAGTTTTAAAATAAAGACTTATTTTTATAAGTTCTGAACAGCAATAGTACACTATTTATTTTGTTATTTGGAAAAGTAGGTGAGAATAGAAATTTTTAAGTATTGTTTTTTTCCAAAGTAATTTAATTTAATCAATAATTTGAGTTGGTTTCAGATCTTTTCCTTAAGTAATGAGGACAAACTGTGATATGGGTACAAAGTTTTAATGTTGAGGAATGTTGGCCCTGTCCTTAAGGAAACTATATTAAATAGGATTTATCTCAAACTACTTTAGTTGTATTTACCATTATTAAAATTTAGTGACATTCTCTTAGATTAATTAGCAATAAAAACTTGTGAAACTTTCTAGTGGTTTTTAAATTTTTATCCTAAGTCTTTTATTACTGATGATGGGCCTTCATGTGTGCACTTGAAAATAAAATATGTACAAGTGTGGCTCTGGTTTGAAGATTCCATTGATGATAGTTACCTAATCAGGTGTCACTATTGTATCTAGAAGCCAATCTTGGAAATATGTGATGATGCCTTTTAATATGGCTGAAAAGAAATCGTTGTTTGTTCTTACTTTGCCCTTGTTTTATAGTATTTAAGAGAAAGAAGATTATTTATCCTCATTTTGAATTTCAAAAACTAATATTTGCATATACTACTTTTTTAATGACAAAGAAAAATGTTAATTGTCTTACATTGATAAGTCTGGTATAGGACCGATCGCATTTTTCATGCTTTGGTCACAGTTCTGTCACTAGAGTGCTAGTGATTAGGTATATACAAGCAGTGACCTAACTACTTTAATACAATGGTTTGAAGTGCTGTAGATGGTAACTACTAGACACCAAATCACAGTGTTTTAATTTGTGATATGTTAGAGAGAACAACAGGACTCGCTGCTGTATTAGTAAACTGAAACACTAATTTCTAAATGTTCTTTTTTATGTCTCTAAACATTTCATTAAATATTGTCTTCTATTCTTAGCATAAATGTATATACTATACTTGATCATTTATATCATAGACAGAAACTTATTTTATAGCAAAGTAGTCTATCTGCAAATTGTGGGTAGAATGCTCCTTTATTGTAATTTTATTTCTGTATTGCTTTCATAGTGTTTTGATTAGCACTTTGGTTAAATGAATAACTATTTTTTTCAATGACTTGTGATTCTGTTTTGACCAAATGTATTGATGCTTTTAACATTTTTGATAGATGTCCTATTAACTAATCTTTGTGCTAAATTACAGGGCTTTGACTCCTGGGTAAATCTAAAACACTGACACCAGTGCAAGCCTCATCTGTAGACCTGGGAGAAGGTGACAATCAAAATGAATTGCTTTCATGAAACACAGGGCCAAAAATTAAACTATTTAATTCCTCTAGAATCAGGGATTATTACAGAAGAGACAGTGGGGGCTTGAGATTGTAAGGGCCAATTTTGAAGAATAAAATTAGTTCAGACCCTCCAATTCAAGGATGGGCACACAGATGCCTAAACAGTTGACACATTGAGGAGCTTTGGCTCTTTAACTTCTTTAACTCAACAGGTTTAACAAAACACTTAAATGTGGGTTATCTATGTTATTAAACATCATAGTATCCCATAACACTCCTCCTCAGCATGAAGCAGCCGGAAAGATCTATGCCCAGATTCCCCATGATTGAGGAATTGATAAATAGAAAAGAGTAACTGATACTGGCCCAGTTGTCCCATAGAACTGATGTTTATGGTTTCTTGAATGAACATAGAAATTGACCCTTCCAGTCTTCAAACTTGAGAAACTTACATTTGTCTTATCTGAGTTCCTTTCTCAGGAAACTAAACATCAGACCTTCCAGAGAGTATCAGTGAACTGAAACTCACCAGATCACCACATCTAGACAATAAGACACCAGACCCCTCTTCGGTCATGATTGCTTAACTGACCACCTGGCTTCCTGTTGGCCTAACACCTCTCCCTTGCCCCCATCCCCCAACTAATTGCTGTTTTCCCACACATAGTTACATTTCTGTCCTGCTATAGAAAACCTTAATTTTAGTTGGTTGGGGAGATGCATTTGAAACCGATATCCTGTTTTCCTTGGCTGCAGAATCTGAATAACCTTCTTCCCTGGCAATACTTGTTGTCTCAGCGATTGGCTTTCTGTGGAGGGAGGAATGGGACTTAGACTGAGCCCCTGGTATTTCAGTAACAAAAGTATTCCCTGATAATCTTCCTTCATGTTTATCTCCATATCAATATCTCCTCACTGGGAAATCTAGCCTGGGGCACTTTTGGTTTTCTATCTAACCACTTTAAGAAAGTATAAAAAGAATGTGTGCATTGTATGCATTTATGAAATTTCTGGTATGCTCAAATCTTGCGTATGACAGATAGCTCTCAATTACCTATGCTCTAGTAATCAGAAATAAAAATTAGTTGTTTTGTTAAAAGTGATATAGTGCATGGGTGATTGCAACTTACTAGGAGCAATAGTGGCAAAGACATTTGCCTGTGTACACAGATTCTGAGATGTATTTTCTAATCAAGAGAAAATTGGTCTTATAGAAACATGTGTTGATGCAGAACATTCTATTTGATAGGTCTTGAGAATGTCACAGACAATTTTACTGAGGAAACTGCAATCGGTAACATGAGTTTGATCCTCGGCAGAAAATTCTGAAAGCAAGATGTAGGTAGAAATCTTTGGCATCTAAGCAACAATTCAGGAAAGGTGACCAACGTTAATTACAAGTAAACAAATTTTATTTCCCAGCCTCTCTCAATGGAGAGTTACTTGAACAGTATTTATTTTTCAAAAGACTGGAAATAGATGCAGATGGCTGAGGCTCCAACCCTGATTTGTCCATTACCTTTTTGCATGTTTTGTGCAAATCCACAGCCTTATGATTATCACTGTTCTTACTGGAATTATTAGCAAATAGTTTTGTAATTTCTATTATCCAAATATCTTATCACCTGATCCTTGCCTAACACTTCCGTTTCACCCCTTCTGCTCCTTTCTTGCCCATGCCCTTCCCATCCTACAAACCACATATGTAGCTTCTGATACTGAAATATTCTCTGTGCTCCTGCTCCAAGAGACATCAAGGGGTTAAGAGGGTGAACCCTGCAGCCAGCCGAGTCCCTGCATTTTCTCTGTCATTTCCCAACTGTGTGACTTACAGCAAGTTACTTACCCTCTGGTGCCTCAGTTTACTTATCTCTAAATAGAGATCAATATCAGCATCTACGTTATTTGGTTGTGACAAGGATTAAGTAAAGAGTACTTGTTTCATAGTAGCTCAAGTATTCTTTGGTGCTTTATTATTTGTTAGCAATGACATGTTCCTGTTTAGGAATTCTGCTGCTCCATTTTGCACTCTGAATCTATTACTGTGTGAGCGTATTTTTCAAATTCTACTTTATGAATATGTATGATGAAAGGTATTTGATAGAGTACTTGCACGTGTAAATTATTGCATAATTGTTGAGAAATTAATGAAAATTTTATTTAAAATGTTCCTGTTGCCTAGAAACAGCATAGATGCCGAAAAGTACTTCTCCCAAGTTTGTATTGAACAACTGAGAGATGTATGTGAATTCGTTTCTTTCCATTAAAAGAATTAAATGTGTAGAAGACCTAAAGAAAGGAAGTCTCTTTTGTTTTTATTGTGAATGACCCAGTACAGAGAGAATATGAATATTCTGGAATTTTCTGGTAATTGGCCCCAGGTGGGACTCAAGAGGGGGGTGCTGACATGCTCAAGGAAATGGAAATGCTCTCACATTAAGTTAATCACTCTGGCTGTTACTACCACTAAAGGGATCACCCTGTGCTCGGTACTGCTGCTATGTCCTTGTCTCTCATAAATTGCAGAAAGGCTGCAGGAAGGCTTTGAAATGTAGATTTTTTTTTTAGGGATTAATGGCACCCTTATTTGTCTAAGTAATGGACTTTTCATGATGTATTTTAAACTTATTGAGCATTAGTTAATTGCTATAATACATGTCAACAATGTGACTAAAGCTATTTCAATTAGATCAATTGTCTGATTAAGTGGTTACCAGTTAGCTTCCCAGGTAGTTTTTCTCCTCAAAGCCCTAAAAATAACATCTTTACAGAATTTCCCAAAATGCATACTGTAAGCCAGTTGCCACAGCCAAAATGGAATTATTTATTCAAGCATTTTATTTGCATCTGAATGTTTGGCAGTTGTGGAGAATAGCAACAAAACAAATAGGGGAAAATATTTGAAGATAATTTGTCCTCTTTTGACACTTAATTTGCTATCACACATTGAGTTTAAAATCCTCGATGTGATCTACAGAATTTCAAAACATTCCCTTTGTTTTTTCTTGACTCTTCATTAGCTTTCCCTGACTTCCCACAGACACTGCATTCTATGAACTTCCTTCACATTTAAATCTTTATTATCATAATCCCTTTGAGAAAAAACTAATAAACCAACAAAAAAATGCATCAGTTAACTAAAAGCCCACCCAAATTTTATAAATTTGTAAAACCCAAGAATATTACTTGGTTCATTCCTGTTCAGTCGACAAGTCAGTCAATGTATGTTGCAAATTCATCATTTTCTTGTTATTCTTTTTCTACTACTTTAGTCTGAGCCTCATCATTCTCTGCCCACATTACTGCAATAGCTTCTTAACAGATCTCCCTGTGTCTAGTTTATCCCTTCACTAGGTTCTTCTACTCAGCATGGCCAATGTACTTCCCAACTTTCATCTTGGTCATTTCTCTGCTTAAAAACTAACATGCCTATTATTTATCAAAAGGAAGCTCTTCAGCCCGTCTGACTTAAAGTCAAAGACTGAGTTCTGGCCAGTGGAATGTGGGCAGAAGGAATGTGCCCATATCCCTGCCTGAACCACAAAACCTCCCATACCATTTACCACATGCTCCCTGTCTCTATCATCTGCTGGCTAAATGGAGGGCATCCTGTGGATAATCCTGAGGTGATAGGCAATGAAAGAACCAACAGATTAAAATATCAAGGTCCCTGAATAGCTTCATGGTGCAGAGTATCTCGCCTCCACATCCCACTCCTGCCTTAGACTCAGACGTAAACAAGAATGAAAAGTTCATTGTGTGAAAACAGTGAGGCTTCTAAGATGTTTGCTGAAGCAATTAGCCCATTAGCCTAAGATGTATTGGTTTTGCAATAACAGTGTTGTTACTGCAAATCGAGATTAACAAATTTATTGGGAGGTTAATATGTGGGTTTTGAACTTCTCCTATGCAGTTTTTATTAGTTCTATGCTTATGGTTTTTGAATCTAAAAGGCTTTCTATGTTTATAATTCTTTATGCTAATTATTTTAAATCTCGTTTTGGAGTGCTTGAAAATAATGTTTATTTATTTACCTATGCAATAAACATTTAGCATCTATTATGTCCTAGGTACTGTGTTTATACAAAGAGAAAGGAAGAAAAGGTTATTATTTCTGTTTAAAAAAAAGGATTATATTACAATCTTATATAGAGACTTTTTGCTACCTAATTTTTACTCTCAGCATAAACTCTCAACAACAGCGTCACATCTCTCTGGATCCCAAGTGACTAGATTCTGATTTTCAGGCCTTATCTGAGACACTCAGAATTGTTTTGCTGCCTAATTTTTCCTAGGGTTTTTTTGATGTTAATGAAATAGGTTTTTTTTTTCATTATTAATTGTGAAGGAGGAATTCTTTTTTACTGAATTCCCACCCAAGTACAGACAGCATAGATTTTCTTTTGCAAGCATTCATTACTTTAGGTATTCCTTTCTAAAGCTTGAACACTTTGATGGTAATGTCATGGTAGAGGAGGCATCTTCTCTCTCTTTTGGCAGTTGACTTTTTGAAGTTAGATGATTAGGTCCAGAGACAGGGAAAGGAAATAGTACCTTCTTAGCTGGCTCCACTACTGAATTAGTGTGTAATTCGTGATCATTTCTCTTTCTAACCATCCTTCTCTTTTTGCTGTCATTTGATAAAGTTTATCTCTTACCCAAGGGCATAAAACTGGCAATGACTAGTTCACCACTTTTGACTACATGTTTGGACAAAATATAGGAATTTCAAGAGAGTCTTGATACTTTTAAAAAAAAATGTTGGTGCTATTAGGAAGCAAAACATTTGTTCATTGCTCATATTCCCTGTAATTTGAAAAAGAGAAGTGTGTGTGTTTGTGTGTGTGTGTGAGACAGAGAGAGACACACACACACACACACGGTGGGGTGGGGGGGTACTTTAGATTGATTCCTAGTTTACTAGAAATGCTGACTCATGAGTTAACAGATGAGCTCAGTCAATGTCATCCTCAGGTGTGTGTAAGACTGTTAAGCATAATATTCCTTTCACAACCTTTCTAGGTGTGTGGAGCAAAAGGGTGGGGATGGGGGTTGAGGCATGTCAACAAAGGTCAAGAGATGGGGGAAGGGTTTTAAAGAAACCCGGTGACTGGTTTCTGAGCCTGACTCTGGAATCTGGCTCTAGGGATCAGCCACCATAGGCACCACACACTTAGTGTGTTTTCTCTGTACTTTAATGGGCTCAGTAAGAAGATGACACTTATCACATTCTATTGTCATTAGCTGTTGGTTTGTCTTCCATGTTTGAAGGAAAAGACCATGTGTTACTCCCTTTCGAATCTTGAAACAAACACATTCCATAGAGTTTTGGTGACTAAGGGAGTAAATAAGTAAAGTGAAGGCTACATTTGCCCGATACTGTAGAAAAACAGGATGATGTAACTGAACTAAAGACTCTATTGTCGTATGAATTCTAATTTCCCTATCTAGGCTTCTATAAAATAAAGATAGGAAAGGAAAACACATAGTACTGAGAAAGATGAATGAAGGATGAGACAATTTAAATGGGAAGGGATGGGTGAAAGTTAACCAATAAAGAGAACAGAAGAGATTGAAAAGTAAGAGGAAACAGGATTTATAAGTTGAGATAGAGAAAGAGCTATGAAAGACATTAAAATGTTGGTGGAATCAGCCAGTAAACATCCAAGATTATAGTCAAGTAGTTGCTTGACCCACGTAACAGGATGTTGTAAAGATGTAGTACAGTAAACCACAGAGTTTCTCAGAGGGAAGCTGCTCTGTAGATAAGAAAGCCCCATTACTTTGTATTATTATTTTCCTTTCATGTTGAGCGGATGTACCAGTGACAGTTGGAGTCTCCTTTCAGCCAAATAACTCCCATATGCTACATAATGCTGCTGCTGATTAAAATCCTATGGAAGATTCAGGCTGTATCTGGAACAATAACAGTCTGAATTCGATTTATCAGTCTTCTGGGGAAGCAAAGATAATCAGATTTCCCCCTTCAGCAACTTTGGGACCAAGCCATTTGCTGAGATGACAATGGATGTGAGTCTCGCACTTTCAGTTTATACACCTGCTGCCTGTTAATCACAAGTTTCTGACATTTTTCTGAGTTTTTTTCCTTCCTATTCAAATCTTACAGGCTTTGTCATTTAAAGGCAAGGGCACTTCTGTGAAAACTAGTTACAGAAACATGCATGAAAAATTAGGGAGCTCTGTAGGGAGACAAAGTTATGGGCGATAGGAGGAAAAACACAATTTTGTCAGAAATCTGGATTCCAATATGCTTCTTAATTTTTTGGTATGTGACCTGAACAAGTAGTTTAAGCCCTCTGAGCTTTAGTTCCCTCATCTGTAAAGTGGATAATGATCTCGGCATCAGAAGGTTGCCTTGTAGATTAAATTACATGATTTGCATTTGACTGAGCATTCTGGAAAAATCTAGGTAATGAGAACTGCAAAGAACTCTGGGTACAAATACTCCATTCAAACCCGTGCACTACCGAGAGACTTGACCAAACTTTAACATGGCCAATAGCTACCTAAGGCCTGTCTCTGGGACAAATCCAGCCCTCTTTTGAGTGCCTGTCTTGAAAAGCTCTGGGCTGTCAAAAGAATTTTCCCTTTGTTCTACTCAATATCTGATGATAGGTCTCCCTTTCTTAGAATGTTTATCAAACAAACAAAAAAATTGGAAATCCTTTCTGTGTTTCTTTGAGATGTATTTGTATTTCATACAATTCAAGAGTGTCTTTCTCAAGGGCCTGAAAGCCATTCCTTTGAAATGCAGTCATCAGGAAGGATAGTCTGTGTTTTCCAAGCTCTGTAAGAGAACAGAATCCTAACTTCAGTAGTTGCCAGCCAGCAGACACAGCTGGCCTAATGGCATTTATACTGACTGACTGTAATTTTTCACTTGACTCCCTGCTTTAAATTGCCCAGTCACCTCTGTGCAAATCAGAATGCAGCTCCGCTCTTTCTCCTACTGTTAACAATTACTGAATAAAATCTGTTTTCACTACTTTAAACTAGTGTCCGATTTGGTTATCTTTGACACTAGAGACTGGCTTTGTGATAACACCTACCAAACCCCTGCCTCAAATTTCTTTTCATGGTAAATGTGTGCTTATGTGTGTGTGTGTATTTTCTGAAGGAGACGGTGAGGTTGAGTCTTCTCAGGATAGTTCATGGAAAAAAAAAAAAAACCTGGAAAAACATGAAAAGGTTGTCTGTTTTCTGCATCTGGTTCTGAGGAAAAGGACCGAGGGCTAGTTTATGTTGTAAATTTTTAAAGGTCACAAGTAAAAGTTAAACATGCTTTCATTATTTTAGCTTAAATCAAAATGAAATTTAAAGTGGATGCAGCTTTAGGCAATGCTGGATACAGGGGTTTAAAGGATGAAATTAGAACTCAGTTTCTTCCTTTAGATCATGCTGTTCAATAAAACACTCTGTGATGATAGAAATGTTCTATATCTCAACTGTCTAATTCAACTGTCACATGTGACTATTGAGTACTTGAAGTGCGGCTAATGGCCAACTGAGAAAATAAAGTATTTCCATTTATTCTGAATCAGTTCAAATGTAAAACACTGCGTGGTGGCAACTCTGTTAGTGAGCGCCATTCTAAATTATGCTGTGTTTGCCTCTTCTTGGCTTTATTCTCAAGACAGACTGTCTCTGTGTGGCATCTAGATGGCTCCTGGAGTGTCCAGACTTAGCCAGTTTTTAAAAAAATTATGATCTCACAGAAGGAGAAAAACTAGCCCTCCTTCAGTAGCCTTGTCAACTTCAGAAGCCTTGTCAACTTCTGATTGACCTTGCTTAGGTAAATCATTGTGTGCAAGAGGATGGACACTCATAGTGTAGTCTGAGTCACATTTTATTGTGGATCATTCAATTCACTGCCCTTCTGGAATAGTTTTGAGTTCAGAGGAAACCATTACTAAATAGTGGCTAAGGAAGAAGTGAAAGGACTGTGTGAGAAAGGGCAAAAGCAGTGACACCTTGTGGCCTGGTTGGTTTTACCAAACCAAGCCTGGGTCTGCTTATCCGGCACAGTAAAACCAAACATCCACACTGAGGTTTGCAGCAAGAGAAAGCATGGTGTTTATTTGCAGGGTGCCAAGCAAAGAGAATTGGACAGCTAATGCTTAAGACCTGACTTCCCTGATGGTTTACAAGCAAGGGATTTTAAAGGCAGGGTTGAATTTCAAAAAAGAAGTTACAGACAAAATGATAAATTAATACATGGAAGTTATACAATGCTTTGGCCCAAAATGGTGGGATATCTTGAAGCAGGGCCTTTCAGGTTATAGGTGGATTCAAAGATTCTTTGATTTGTGATTGGTTAAGAGAGCAAATCTTTGTCTAAAGTCTTGGGGTTAGCAGAAAGGAATGTTGAAGTTTGGCCTGTGGGCATGACTCCAGGACCCTCAGGAAGAAATTTAGAACAAAGAACAGCAGTCAGATTTCAGCCCTCAGTGCCCCTTTATCTGAGATCTGTGTGCCAGTGGATGGCATTTTCTACCCAGTGGGGGTCCAGGTTTATGAAAAACAACTCAGGAATATATGTTAAGATATTACCTTTAGCTACCAAGGGAATCAAACATCTTGAGGCTCAAATTTCCTTGGCTGTTGTTCTAAGTTATTATCACCTTTTTGCTTATTATCAGGTTGCTCATTTACTTACCAAAGCTAGCTAGGTACCTGGAAATTTCCTTGAAGGAACTCAAAATTTTTCTTTATTTTCATGCATGGGGAGTGGGGAGCTATCTTAGGTAGCAGGCCCCTAAGAGGGATCCCTGCTCCATGTTAGTGACAGTGTACCACACAGGGTTAATAATTAGAATTTCGCTCTTCAGTACAGAGAGAATTTGGTACCTGAAGTCCAGGTCAGGAAGCAGCAGAAACCATACAGTTTATAAAGTTTATAAAAGAAACCATGCAGTTTATTTCAGTGTCCTGAAAACATCAGCAGTATCAGCATGTGAGGCACAGTCTAGAAACCTCTTGTGTAGAGCGTCATAAAAAGGGTAGGAAAGTTAGACATTAAGCACATAGAGCAAGTCATGTGGCTCCTGTGAACTGCTGTTCTGCTTCATAAGCACATCACAAGCACGCTCCAAGAATTATCAGAAATACCATGGGTAGGGTGGGGTAGAAGCCTGCAAGTAAAGGTGGTAGTTAAATACAGGAAATAAGACTTTACAATTAATGTGACAATATTCGTATTTAAAGTCTAATAAAGCTGAGACATTTGAATCATACATTTAAGGGCTTAGAACGCTGAAATGCACACATTTTACCCACCGTTTCCAGCACATGCAGACACACGCATCTCATATTCAATTCTAGAACAGGTAGATTTTTCTGTGTTTTATTGATACTGGTGGTACAAAGAGATGTGATAGATTTAACTTCATCAGGATTTAGTGTATCCTTTAGAACTATGAAGATTTATTTTCTGAAACCTTGTGTGTTACAAAAATTCACTATTGGGAACATTGGAAGCAAATCTATAGACTGGGACTAATATTCAGCCATTGTATAAAAATATAACATATTGGTTGTTAAAACATAAAAATGATTATGAACTAGTTTTATACAACATCTTTCCTAAGTCAAACTATCTCCTATCGCTTATTGCCTCACTTCTGTCTCTTGTCACAGTCCAGCAATTAAAGTTTTAATTCCTGACACAGGCAGGGGCCTCCCAGTCCAAGACACTATTCTAAACCAGCTATGTTCTCATTGGTCAGTGCTCATGTGATGTGGTTTGGCTTTGTGTCCCTACCCAAATCTCACTTTGGATTGTAATAATCCCCATGTGTCAAGGGCGGGACCAGGTGGAGATAATTGAATCATGGGGTCGGTTTTTCCCATACCTTTCTTGTGATAGTGAGTGAGTTCTCAGAAGATCTTATGGTTTTATAAGGGGCTTCCCCCTTCACTTGGCTGTCATTCTCTGTCCTGTTGCACTGTGAAGAGGTGCCTTCCACCATGATTATAAGTTTCTTCAGGCCTTCCAAGCCATATGGAACTAAGAGTCAATTAAACCTCTTATCTTTATAAATTACCCAGTCTTGGGTATTTCTTCATAGCAATGTGAGAACAGACTAATACATCATGTTAGTCAGTTTCCCTGAAATTCCAATTGCCTTTGGCTTCCCAAGGAAAACCAAAACAATCATTTCATGCTCTACCAGCATTTTATTTTTTTTGTGTTGGTTCATCAACCTACATTTTCACTTATTTGTTGATTACATTATTTTTAAATCCTCTGTATCACAGAGATACAAAGTAATGAAATATTGTCATGGGAGCCATCGGGTGTCACTTTTCCAGCTAGAAATTTCTGTGGCTGGTGGAACCTTTGCTCGAGTTTTGCTCGAGGCCCAGAGCTTATTTCACCCACTCGGCCTGGCAGGCTGCGCTTGCCTCAGGCTACCAGCCTGGATCCCATGCCTGCCAAGGGTGAGTCGGGGATGGAGTGGCACAGGGTGCATGAGTGAGTGAGTGTGGGGTCTGGCCACTGTGCACAGCCAGGCATGCCGGCTGCTGAAGCAGGGCAGGCAGCTCCAGACGCCGGCTCGAGCACTGACTCCTGTGCAAGCCTGTGGCTGGATCAGATGCACCACAAACAGCTTCCACTGCAGGCACCTGCATTTGGACAGAGGGAACACAGTGGCTCCTGGGAGCTTGAAAATGCCAGAGACCGGAGTCTCAAAGAGGGTGTCGCAGCCCTGGCTTGGGGGGCTCCCATGTCTGGGCTCCCCAAAAGGCCGCAGCTCTCTTCTCCTTCTCATTGCCCACGACTGGTGAGCAGTGGGGACATGTTCCAGCCCTGTTTGTTTTTTTATAGCTCTTTCAGTCGTACCATTCGATGGGTCCTGAGTTCTTGTCCCACATCCAGGAAGAATGACGTATGCAGACAACTGAAAGATGAGCAAGGTGGAGAGGAGCTTTATTAAGCCACAGAACAGCTCTCTGGAGACTCAAGAGTGGGTAGCTCCTTCCCACAGCTGGTAGTCCCAGCATCTGTGTGAAATCTGGCTGATTCTGGGTTTTTTATAGGCTCAGAAGGGAGGAAGTGTGTGCTAATTGGTTTATGGGTAGCCATGGGTGGGCCTGGAAAAAGCACCCATAAGTTCTCACTCCAGGCCACGGACTCGACCTGGAACTAACAGCCCAGCCCCCAGGTTCCAGGCCATCCCTGGCTTGAAAGTGGGGCTTCACTGGTGACCTGCTCCTTTCCACCCAGGAACCCGTCTGCCTCCCAATGTCATCAACATGCCGTCCATAGTGCACAAGATGTTTGTGCCAAGGTGTGCCTGCAGGCCTGGGTCGAGCCACTCTCAGTCACTGCCCTGGCCTCCCTCCCATGCTTGTCAGTGTCTGATATGGTTTGGCTGTGTCACCGCCCAAATCTCATCTTGAACTGTAGATCCTATAATTCTTAAGTGTTGTGGGAAGGTCCCACGGAGAGATAGTCGAATCATGGGGTGGTTTCCCCCATACTGTTCTCGTGGTAGTGAATAAGTCTCACGAGATCTTATGGTTTTATAAGAGGAAAACCGTTTCGCTTGGTTCTCATATTCTCTCTCTTGCCTGCTGCCACGTAAAATGTGACTTTCGCCTTCCGCCATGATTGTGGGGCCTCCTCAGCCACATGGAACTTTAAGTCCATTAAACCTCTTCTTTATAATTTACCCAGTCTCAGGTATGTCTTTATCGGCCGTATGAAAACAGACTAACACAGTGTCCAAAGTCTGGGGGCGGGGGTCTGAAGCGGCAGGAGGCTGACCGTGTCAGTGCTGCCTGAGGTACACACACTGGCGGTCGCTACAGCGCCTGGGCTTGGCTAAAACTTTGCTCTTCACCAGAGTGGGTTCCAGGAGTGGGGAGAGGCCAGGGAGTAGGAGCGGGCACTTCTGATCCTGTTGGGGAAGGGGGGTTTCCTGGGCCCCCGAGAGCACAGGGATGCCCAGTTCTGGAGCTGCACCCAGGAGGCTTCAGCTGTGCCTGGGAGCACGGACTCCTGCCCTGCCCTGCTGACTCGGCAGGAGGTGTAGCTCCTGCCTGTTCCTGTCCCACCGTCTCCTCGGAGCACGCAACCCCAGCTGGACTTCCCTCACTGTAGCTGGCAGCTTTGCAGCCGTCACTCCAGATGGGCTGCCACTGCCATCAATATTTAAGATATGTTGCCTTGTTTGGGAAATCCATAAAGTCTTTGCTTTATGGCAGATGAATATAGTAAAGAAAAGGAGTTAAATTTAATTTTGTAGCGATGTAGTCCATAGTGACAACTGGAGAAAATGCTGCAAGTTTGTTAGGAGGCTAAGTCTTACCGAAAGAGAACTGCCATTGATACCTATAAGATTTAGTCATGATCACAAAATTAGGACTGGATAGGGAGTACAAACAGCTGAGACAAAAACTATGATCGACAGGCACCATAATTTTCAATCAAATAGCCTCAAATCCGTACCTTCAAGTGACAATAGGGATGTATCGCAGGTAGAGAAATTTATGGTGTGATTAGTGGAAGATGTATGTGTGTGTGTTTGTGTGTACTTATATAGTCTTAGCATAAGTGTAGTTATTGGCTTACATAGATGTGTTTAGTTAGTTCCTATTAAAACTGCTATGGAGAATTTTGTAGAGGTTGAGAGATCAAAGGGTCTGGAAAAATGTGGCATTAATTCAAGCCAGATGGGATCAATAATTCTGGAGACAAATAGTTACAAATTATTGTAACTATTGCAAAGCCCAAAACCTTGAGAGACAGAATTTTGCAGCTTTAGACCACTGGGAATAAAAATACGTTGTTTTGCAGTGTGTTGATGGTTTAAATTTTTGACACCTACTGCACTGTCAGTCAGTCTGAACTCTTCTGCCAACTGACAGACACATCATTCTAGAGATGAAGCAATGGATTCAAATAGTTTTTTTTTTTTTTTAACTTTTTTAGATTATCTTTCTTCTTTCCTCAAATACAGATCAAAACCTAGGGAGGTGACTTTTGTCTTCTTTACTTCGTTAACCTAAAACTGAGGAGAATTTTAAGTTTGTAAATTCTGAATGTGAACATTTCAGAGGCTGAATTTCTATAACTCACAATCATGCCGCAGGACAATAACACATAGCCAATAACTTAGATCTGTGTTCCTTTACTTAGATTTGTTTGCTAAGGAAAACTATGGAAACCATTGTTTCTTCTGAAAGCCAAACTCAGCATTTGAGAGCATTTAGTATTTAGCCGAGTGGTAGAGCAGCAAACTCATTTTGAGTAAGATATTTAAAGAAGGAGCACCATATGTCATCAGCTGGCATAATTTAACTTGCAAATCACATGTTGGCAAGGGCTAGTTGGCAGCAGATGGCTGAACTCTTGTGTTTCAGACCCCAAACCTATCCTTTCCCATTTTGTGTTAGAAATCTAATTAAAAGCCTTTTTAGCACCATCAGATTAATTATAAACAAGCCTCTTTATCTGGTAGAAAACTGACCTATGTTTATCAACCTTCCCCCCAAGTCGTCTATTTTCCAAGATATTCTTCAAGAAGTACTTTTCTCCAAGCTCATTTGTTCAAATGAAACACACTTAATCTTTGTATCTTAAATCCCATGAGCTACTTCTTAGGCCAAATATGAGTCACTTATTTACTATTTAGGACATAAACTGCTATTAACTTAAAACTACTTGCTAATTGAATTAGTACCTTTAGTCAATTTGGTGAAATTTGTTGATAGACAATCTTCTTTCAGTTATATATTTGCCATTGAAAACAAGATTTTATAAAGCGTAAAGTCTTTTATCATATGTTGGTACATTAAATATCAGAAAAAAGGACATGTGTTTCATTAATTTGCCTGTCACTCTACTAGTTTATGATAAGAGGACTGACATTTCTGTACCATCTGTTTGTATATGACATAAAAAAGCTATATGTGCTTAGTTATGGACCGAAGTATTTAGACAGAGTAAATCCACAAGCATTTGCTCAACATTTTGATAAGTATTAGGTTATTTCTCACAAAGAATTTTGTTATTATTAGATATTTTTTATTTTAAAATTTTGTTGTAAATTGAAAAATTATAATTATACATATTTTAGTGGTAAACAGTGATGTTATGATATATGTATGCAACATGAAATGATTAACTCATTAATCATAGATAATTAGCATATCTATCACTTCACATACTTGTCTTTTTTTGGTGAAAACATTTAAATATGTAAAATTCAAGAAAAGCATAAGCTTTTATAAAAGGTGTGGGAATAAGTGACTATTTCTTTCCCAACATACGGATGAATTGTACTAGTGGTTAAAAAAAGGAGAGTTATCTTCTGGCTTTTGCTTAGGATGTAAAAGGCTGGTCAGGGCATCCTTTGTACCCTTATAATATAGAAAATAGATCATCTGTAAATTCATAGTTGTTCTTGGATTCATCAGAGAGCTGAGGTTTTGGGGCAGCCAACTAACCCAAAATCTAAAGGAAGATATTCACCTGAAAGGAGACACAGACTATGAGCATTTGCTTTTTTGCAGCAGATGCTGGACCCCATAAAATGTGTTCAGAAGAATGCAACTACAATTTTTGACAAATTGCTAAAAACTGACTTTGTTTTAGCATGAGTGCATAGAATCCCTGGGAGCTGCAGTCAGAAGGGGAAATTGCAGGTATGTGCATGATCACCACAGAGCTCACCAGGTACTTACAAGAGAGATTAAGAGCATGGTGGGAGTCCTGAGAAAGCCTTCATCTTGATGCAGGCACAGGAGTGGGGAACAAAAGATGTTGTGGAAGAGGAAAAGGAAAAGGCAGAAAGCCTTACCAAGAACCTTCTCCCCTACTTCTCTACAGAGTAAAAGACAAGCTTCTGTGGAAAGGGCAACAAACACTATCACCCTCAGACCAGAGGTGAACATCCTTTGCAGCAAGGTGAAAGAGATACAAAACACCCTCTGCCCTTGAAGGAGAGACAGGAGACGCCTCTGTTGGCTTCTCTGCTGCTTAACAGAAGTCATGAGATGCCTGGGTAACTGACAAAGAACAAAGGACAGTAATAGCAGTAGCCAGAGTATCAGCATAATTTCCTCATGCCTGTTCCCCAGACCCTGACATTCAGAGGACCAGGTGACTCCTATAGACACGTAAGGGTATGGAAACTCCCTGACTTAGTTTTCAGCATTCCAAGAATTGCCCCGCAAGAAAAAATGGCCAACACGATATCTGCCCACCTCTCGGTGGTTTCAGAGTCTCTGTGATCTTGGCACCTTAAGTTCTAGCAGCTTCAGCCAGTCTCTAATGCCTCAAATCTAAACTTTTTCTATTTTCCCTGTATTTCACGTGGGTTTTCTTTTCCTTGAGTTGCTTGCAAGATGCTTCAACTTAGCCACACCTGGAATATATTACATATTTGTTTCTTGTTTATTTTCCATCTTCTTCTTTAGGAACGTAAGCTCTGTGAAGTTCGGTTACTTTGGCTTCTTCTCTAATAAATCCCCAGTGTCTTGAAAAGCACGTGGCAATTGGTAGGCACTTAATAATGTTAAGTAAATAGACAATAGACAGCTGAGTTCACATAGGTAAAAAATAATAAAACCACAATTTAAAAATTTTGTTTTCTATCTTGATGCCTACTGACATATATAGTAGTTTCTACATTTACCCGTATCTCTGTTGGTACATGTTTTCTTAGTAAAAAGAGTGCATATTTTTAGCACATTGGTTTATTAGTGCATATTTATGTCTTTAGCTATAATCAAGAGGAGATGTATGAATGTTCTTTGAGTTTAGAAAGAGTTACTTTATTCTCTAGGACCCCAAAAAGGTGTAAACAAACAGATTATTTTATGCACACATCTGATTCTTTCCTTTCTTGTAGAGTCCTTTCAAGTCTCTGCAGCTTCAAGCTTGCTGACTTCTTTGATCAAAAACTGCACTCATTTTGGAACCAGTTAAAAGGTTGTGTTTTATAGGAAGTCTTTTAAGAGTTTTTTTCCAGGTGACTCAGTTACTCTCATCTCTGTGTCGGTTCTTCTGTTATAGAACTTATTATATTGCCTTTTAGTTATTTGTTTACATGTCTGGGTTTCCACCTAATTACTGAGCTCGTTACATAAATATCTTTGTATCCTTAGTACCTAGCACACAGCCAGGCGCATAGAAGTATCTTAGAAAATATTGGCTGGATGCATTATTAAGCTAAGAATGTTGTCTAGCTTGGGAGTATGTACATTTTCAAAAGATGACAACGAAATGACACTTTCTAATTTTGGGATTTTAGTTAGCAATTCTCTGTGTATAAGAGCTATTGGGATAGCAGAGAGGCCTTCTCAGAACCACTGGACTCTATTATTCTGTTTATTCCTGAACTTACAAACTTTAAATATCTTTTTATAGCTGATAATTCTATGAATCAGCCTTAACATTCAGAGGTGGGGCAAATGGTGTCATGTAGGTGGTGTAATTTAAAGGAAACCAGTAAGATTTTCCTTCCTCTAAATTTCCTTTATTTGTGTTTGAGATTCCATATATCTATTGCCTTGTTTTAGCTCTGCAGTCATGCTGTAGACTAATCTTAAAACAGAAATCTGTAGAGACATGCATTAATTTATTAACCAGATCATTTATCTTCATGGTAGGAGAAATCTGGAGAGGCAGGAGCTCTGTATACCTGGAGAAAGGTAGGAACGACAGGAAGGGAAGAGCAGAGAAAGCAAGGATGATAATTAGGGACGCCAAAGACCAAATGTGAGTTATTGACACCTCTGTCAAAATTTAATCTTCCCTTGAGGTGGTATTTTTATATAATATTGTCCTAACCTGCCAAAAGAGGTGATGCAAATAGTACTATAAACATCTTTGTGTTTATTTAGTGGAATATTATATGTATTATATTATGATCCAGATGGGGAAAAGATTAGGGTTTCAAAAAGCATATAAAGGCCACTTAGTAACAAATTTACAGAGATGAAAATATCCCAGTGTTTTCTGTTTCTCATTTAACTATTCAAATCACATATGAAGATAGCTGTTTTATCCTATTTTTGCTCTTTTTACCACCACATGGTAATAATTAAAAGACCTTTACTATAAATCACCCAGTTGTCTATAGATTTTGGGTTGCTTTTCATAGGTTGATGACAATGTAAGTGCCTTGGACTGTAAGTACTACCATTTGGCATAATCTTGCTCTATACTTGCAAAATAATATTCTTTTATTATAGAAATGGACTACTGTCTCTCACCAGCAATCTTTAAAGGATACAGATACAGGTAAAAAGATGGTGACTCAAGGCTTAGATAAGTTGGCCACCACCCACATTCATATCTATAAGCCTTTTCTCTGTATACGCTTAGAATATGGAGCTATGTTTTCTATGTATGTGATATAATTAAGTAACCCTAAGCTTCTATGAAAAAAATACATTTTTGCTTTGAAGAATTTATCTAACAGGGGACTCAGCATCTGGAGGGAGTAAGTTATAACCAACCCAAGAATTTTTTTGTCAGTTCTTCTGCCCTCATCTCCCCCAATAATATATAGAACTTGAACCCATTTCTATCCTTACCCAGTCTCTTTGTCTTCCTGGTGGAACACTAAGGAGCTCACAGTTCTCACTTCTAGGAGACAAAAGTATCCAGGGATTTGAAGCACAGAATCCAGACTTTGTCTCTTAATAACTGTAATCTTGGTCAAGATATCTAATCCCCAGATTCCATCTGCTCATCTGTTAAAGTGAGGTTTAAAAACAGTACCTACCTATAGGGTTGTAGTGAGGGTTAAATAAGATAAGGCACACAAAGCACAATGCTGGAAAACAACAAACATTTCATAAATAATAGTTGCTATTATTCTTATAGTTAGTGTAATAGTATTCCCCCTTCATGCCCCTCATGTTTCCATGAAGGGGAGAGAATTACTACTTCACTCTCTAGAAAAAATTACAGTGGGTTGGGGAGAGAACCTCTATCCTTTCTCTTTTTATTCCTACCCATGGGTGGGAGAGTGAATAATTTTATTTGGAACATGGAAGTCCTAATGTGTCAATTTCAGCTCCTTATCACTTCCCAGATATAATTTGTCCACAGCACATACAATTCAGGTGTTCCTTTCACCAAGCCTGCCTCAATAGACAAGGCTTGTGGTTATCCAGATATGCCAATGTCTGGTTTAGGATAAAGCCTAAACAAGCCACTTTAACTACAGATCTTGAGCTATATTCTGCAATAAGCTTTATCAGTAGTGTGATCATTTTATATCCATGTGTCCAACTTTCCTTTCTTCCTATTTGTTTTACAGTTGAATGAGGAAGGTAAAAAGGGCTGTTTATTTGCTTTCCTGTCCCCCCAAGTTTTTGTTCTCTAAATCATTGCTGTGTCCTTGGGTGCTCTTAACTGCAATTATCACCATGGAATTCCTTTATATTTTGAGCCTTAGGCAGTTTTCTCCATCTGCTGGCTGTGCACTTGCCAGGCAGTGGCCATTGCCCTTATTGAACTGGTTCCACAAATGCCTTTGGCCTGCTCCCATCACAGCTGCTGAGCTGATGTGAGAGATGGTGCTGCCTTAGACACTTTCTCAGTGTTTGTTCCTGCCACTTCCACTGTTGCCATGGCAGACATAGGTGCCTTCTCCAGAAGCAGTTAGTATCTTCTAGTCCTGTGCACCCTGTCTGGGCCTCTGGCGCTCTCCTCTGCAACAGAAGTAAGACACTTCTCCAAATATTTAGGACACGCATTGTGTTGAATCTACCCACATTGTGAGAAACGTCACTTTTCTATTCCCATGCACATTTCCCCCCCATTGGAAGCACAGATTTTCTCCTTAGAAGCACTCCCATTATAGAGTATGCACCCTTAATTCTTTCCTTTTGGGTATCTTCTCCCCTATAGTAAGAAGAAACCTTCCTTCTAGATTTAGCTGACAGCTGCTGAAACGAATACCCTGATCAAGGATTGTGAGGCCGGAAGCAAAGGCATATTGTCAGTCACGCAGGAATTTTTTGGCCCATGTTTTGTGCAAACAGCTGCTGCATTTTCAATTTTGAACTTGGCAGACCTTATTTTAAATCTGCTTTGCCAAAAACTGTGGCTCTTTTGCCTTATTTTTCTTTTCTCCCAATTGGAAAAAAAGAAAGGGTCAAATAGAGAGCTAAAGTGGGGTCAATATGGAGTTGAATCTCTAGCAAATGCTACTATGTATTTATCAGCATCACATATTTTGGGGGTATTTGTGTGGCCAGTCCATTTAGGTATGTATGTATGTAGGTATGTGTGTAGGTATGTATGGAGCAAATAAATCATAGGCAACCATGAAATTTATGGTTTGTTATGGTTTTCTAATGTCTGAGGAGATTTCTGGTCTAGTAAAATGCATATATATAAGTTCCCTTGCAACCCTGTAATGGTGTTTATTTCTTTTCCTAAGATTTCTTATATCAAATATTCTTCTTGAAATCATTCGCCACCAGTTGGTTTTAAAAAGTCAGGAAGATAATTTATGACACATGAGACTCAAAAGTCTCCATTTTTTTGTTGTTGCTATTCAATGGTTCCTAATTTCCTACAGAATAAATTTCTAACCTTTATCTGGGTATAAAGGGAATGCCTTTCAATACCCGGCATGAAACTCTTTCCACCTTGCATCCTGGAGCACCTCTTTCTTGCCTCCTCCTTAACTTCTTTGTCATCTTCCTGTTTCCTGGTGCCCATAATTCTAACTGAGTGATTTTTGGGGGGGAACATGTCATGCACTTTTATGCCTCTGAGAATTTCTTCATGATATTTGCATCAGATTTTACTTTAAATTTTTTTTTCTTTCCCTTGCCTGCTTGGAGAATTCATACTCATCCTTCAGGACCCAACACAAACAATACCTTTATAAAGTCGTTAAGTTAATTGTTCAATATTTCTTTGTTTGAATGTTTGCCTTATCAACTAGTGAGCTCTGCAAGGGTGAGATATAAACTTATTCACCAAGTTCCTTCCCAGCACTTATGCTTATTGTATTGGGGTGGAAAGAGGAAGAGGAAACAGACATCTGTCTTCTTATATGACTGCCTGCTATGGCATCACTTTTCCTATTTGTTATTACCACAGGTACAAACTGTTGCCTAAGGATACAGGGTGTGTGGCTGGTGGCCTCAACAGGCCCCACGGCTCAGGCACTCAGACCCAAGCTGGTCCCTCAGGTATGGTTAGCCCTTGAGATATTCTGCCTCATCTTCTTTCTGACCCCTGCTGGTGATCTCATCCTCAAGCTCTTTCCTCTGGGGCTGAGCTCTGCTTTGTATTGCATTGGTCCATGACCAGCCAGGAGGCTCAAGTGTCATCTACTCTTCATGGCCCAAATGTGTGCGATGAAGATTGGTACTCCATGTAGCTTCCTTCTTGGCTTATCTCCTCGGCCCTCTCTCCCCACTACAAATAAATAAATTCTGTTTATTCTCGTAATAACTTTAGGTGGTATATACTATTGCTATCTGATTTGGTTTGGGTGTGTCCCCATCCAAATCTCATCTTGAATTGTAGCTCCCATAATCCCCACATATTGTTGTGGGAGGGACCAGATGGGAGGGAATTGAATCATGTGGGCAGGATTTTTCCATGCTGCTCTCACGATACTGAATAAGTCTCATGAGATCTGATGGTTTTATAAAGGGCAGTTCTCCTGCACATGCTCTCCTGCCTGTTGCCATGTAAGACATGCCTTTTGCTCCTCCTTCACCTTCTGCCATGATTGTGAGGCCTCCCAGCCATATGGAACTGCGAGTCCATTAAACCTCTTTTTCTTTATAAATTACCCAGTTTTGAGCATTTCTGCATAGTAGTGTAAGAATGGACTAATACACTATCCCAGTTTTACAGATGAGGAAACTGAGATACAGAAGACATAAAATCAAAAGTGGCAGGATTAAAACCCAAGCAATCTGGCACCAGATTTAATGCTCTTAACCCAGTGTACCGTAAAGACTTTTATGTTAAATCTCATGCTTAAGTTAGCATATAAACTAATATTTGTTTACTGCCTACAGCATAACAGTTAGTTTATATTATATATGTACGTATTCCTTGAATCACTGAATCATTATAATGGTGGAGCCATGATACAAGTCCTAATTTTATGACTCTAAAGTAAATGATCTTTTTACTAAACACAACTGTTTTTGTAGTTCAGATGCCAAAAGTAGTTTTTGAAGATTTATTTTTAACAAAAGGGTAACTATTCTTCACTTTACAAAAGTATTCATAACAAAATTAGCTATAGAGAGGATGAGTAATTTTAGGTCCTGAACGATTTTGCTGTGCACTGATCTTTTGTCTTCCGTTTTATCAGCCCATATTACTAAATGCCTGACTTCAGAAAAAAAACGTAAACAAAAGACAGAGATTGGAAGCATCAGAATTTTATTCCAGTGACTCAATCCCCATTGTGTGAAGTAGACCAGAATGAATAAATTGAACTTACTCAGCACCTCAATTATTAAATGTATCCACAGAAATTCATTCTGTCAAGTTAACTGTGGAGGTTGTTGTTGCTATTGCAGGTATGAACATTTATCTTTTTGTGCTCTGTCATCATATCTGGTTTTTGCTTTCTAAACAGAACACCAAATTAACCCATTAAAGAAAATCACTGATTTTCTGATTCCCACAGAACATTTGATTTATGTAAAGCAGCATGTGTTTAATCATTTACTTTAATCATGTTTCTCACTCAACAAAAGTTATCAAAATAAAAAGGTGTAGCATTAAGTCACTGTAATTGTTTCTGATAGACTACAGTGTTAGTACCTAAATGAAGAGATGTTATTCTATGTTTTTGTTTTTTGTGTTTGTGAGGCCCTTCTTTTTTATTATTTTCTCTTAAATATGTATTAGGTTACAATGTTAGTAGACACTAAAATATTTCTTTTTGTTTTATGGCTGGATACTATTTTCTTCAGACTAAATGGTTTTCCTGGGAACTCTGACTCTGGCCACAAGATCAAGACTGACAAATTTCCTTTCTCTGTTTATGGAGGGAGACTTCACAACATTCACTGAAAGAGGAGCAAAGGACCTGGTTTTTGCCATGACTGGCTTTGGCCCCGTGAATGAATGTTTTTCTGGCATTGGAAAGCGGATAGCAAAGAGAGCAGAACCACAAATGGGCTATGAGGAAATGTGTTCAATGAAGAAAACAAAATCTCTGACAAGATCCAACATAGGACAACATCTCAGCATCTTCTGTGATTTGTGAACCCAAGTAAAGCACTTCTTAGAGTTATCTGGCACATTCGCAACTAATAGCTTTCTGTGAATAAATACTGTGGCAACCACGTTAACTGTACAAAAACAAATTGCTTATTTCTTATATCCATGCTGGAAGATTATCTGGCTGACCTTATCAGCTGTGATGTCAGGAATGTCAGCCAGTTATCCTGTGGTGCATTCAGCTGGGTCATTGTACCCCATCAGTGAGGCAATTGCAAAGTTCCATCTGGACAGAGGTAGAAAAAATTATATTCACTTTGAGTTTTGGATTTTTTTCTCTTAATTTTCAAAGATAAAGACAATTGCTTTTGGCTTTTAAGAGACACATCTGGTATGCCTTGGGCTGGATGCCAGATATTTCTGCTGTTGAGTTTTTATAACATTATATAGGCCTCAATATTTTAGAACTAGTATACATTTGATAAAAGTGACTTTTCTAAAGTTTTAGGGAGAATCTTTTGCTTAGGTGCAGCTGAGTATTTTTAGTTCAGTACTACAGATGGCATACCAAATTTAAGAGGAGTTGAGTGACTGCTTCAAGGTTGCACAGCTAGTTCTTGGTAGATCTGGAAAAGGACCAACATCTCTTGGCCCTTTGTCAGATATTCTTTCTTTGATTTCACACTGTTTTTAAAGATGCTTAATACATTTTAAATTAAAATGGTTATTTGAATCTGCTTAAACTAGACAATACTAATTGTCAAACATCCATTACCTGCTTTTTCTCTAGTAACAGATTGGTGCAAAAAGAATTGCGGTTTTTGCCATTACTTTTAATGGCATTAATTACTTTTAATGGCAAAAACCTTAGTTCCTTTTGCACCAGCCTAATAATAAAACCCCTAATTTTAACTTGGCACGTGGCCAACCAGAATAGAAACTACATGTTCCTGCTTTGCTTTCAGTAGCATTAGCTGAAGTAATCTTCAATGGGGATAGGAAAAATGAGGTGCACAACTGCCTGGTTGCACTCTTATAGGAAAGGCATAACCCTCCATTTCCCTTTTATCTTTTCCACTCACTAGAGTAGTGATCTGGTCATAATTCATTCTGGACCATGTTGACAGGGCAATATACTGGAGATTGTAGAGAAGAAGTCAGAAGGGACTTGGATCCCTGATACTATGGAACTGTCTTGCAGCCCTAGTTTGCTTATGTCTAGACTTTTATGCAAGAGAAAAAATAAACATTTCTTTGTTTTAACTACTGATACTTAGATCTTAGCTACAGCAACTGAACACACAATGCTATTTAATAATTTGCAAATGTTATACTGCCAGTTGATATTTTATAACTACCAAATTTAAGTGCAGTAAATGGGCATTATGCTTGTTTAAATGTCTGGCAATCTTGGAATTATACCATTACCATCATATGTTGCATGAGATGGTTTTCCATTCCATTTAGAGTCCGTACAATAACTCATACAATGTGTCACTACTGCTGTCTCTTCTCAGCGGGCTTCAACCATACTTATTTCTTTGCCGTTCCTAAACATTCCAGATATACTCAGTGTTCCTTCCTCAGGGTAAATGTTGTTTTGTTGGTGGTGTGGTTTGTTTTTTTTTTAATTCCTCTGCAGCAAATCTCTGCCTAGCATTCTGCATGTAGTATTGTGCTTCCACAATTTTAGAATTTTGCTCAGTTGTTATCTTTTCATTAAGTCCTTTCCTGATGACATCAATAAATTTCATTCTCCACTGCTTGGAACTTGTATATCCTTTGCATTTGTAGGTTTTCTCCATATTATTTATTTCCCTTTTATTCCTTCTCATTGAAATAAAAGCTCTGTGGGAGTGGAGATTTTGCCATTGCTGTGCTCTCACAACACTGTCTGCCAACGAAAAGTCACTACATAAATATCTATTGAATGGATGCATGGATCAACAATTGAGTGCTTTAATAGATGTGAGTGATGTTATGATCTATTAAGGGGGTTTATATTAAGCTGATAACTGACTTTATTTTCTGAAATATCCATAAAAGGAATATGTTGGCTCCTCTAGAGGTAAAACCTCTTCCAGTGAAGCTATAACTGATAAAAATTTCACACTGGTATGCACACCTCATTCATTCACAAACATAGTTGGATATCGCAACAGATTACTAATCTCTGATTTTGAATTAACTAGCAAAATCTAAAAATTTCAAGGGTTTTAGGAAACAGTTTTATAAAACATACTCTGCAATGTGTTTTACTATTTTATTTCTGATCTTTATTTTCCCAAAGTAAAAAATTCTGTGCTTTATTGGCCTTGGAAATATAAATAAATGAAGAATAGATAATCTTTTTTTGTAATGCCATTAACCAAATGCTAAACTAGTATGGTGGGAATGGACTTACTATACTATATTTCTTTTCTATAAATGTCACATTACTTTTATAAGTCAGATTATATTCAGCACAGAGTCTTGAGTTACGAGGTTAGACCAGAAATCTGCTATCAGGCATATTTAGGATCTGTTCCTCCATTTGAAAACTCTGAGCTTACATAGATCTGGGAAACCAGGGATAGGGCTCATTCTTAGCCCATGGGACTTGGAATCCATACCATTGCATCTCTGGCTACAACAGCAGCTCCATCATTGGTTCTCTGTTGGGTCTGCTGCTCTGCGTGGGCTGGTGCTATCCTTCATAGTCATGCTCTCTGCTGACACATGCCCAACATTATGACATTAAGTTTCCCATCAGCACTGATTGCCTTTTCCCCTACAAACCTTTGTTTTTACTCCTAGTGGAAACTTCCTAAATTCTATCCTCTTTCTTAAATGTAAGAAGTTACCTTTCTTCCAACATAATGCATAAACTCTGTGTGAGCCAGAAAGTGCTATTCACCCCAACTAATAGTGTTGAAAAACTAAAACTATTTCAGTTCTGATTAGGACAGATGTTTAAGGAGTTTAAGAAGACTTTTTTGTTTTGAGGCTGAGCCTTGCTCTGTCACCCAGGCTGGAGTGCAATGGCATGATCTCGGCTCACTGCAACCTCCGCCTCCTGGGTTCAAGCGATTCTCCTGCCTCAGCCTCCCAAGTAGCTGGGACTACAGGCACGTGCCACCATGCCTGGCTAATTTTTGTATTTTTAGCAGAGACGAGGTTTCACCATGTTAGCTAGGATGATCATGATCTGCCAGCCTCAGCCTCCCAAGGTGCTAGGATTACAGGCATGAGCCACCACACCCGGCCAAGAAGACTTTTAAGAAAACATTTTAGTCTAGGTAAAAATTGTGAAAGATCTTGAAATGGGCAAACAAGACTATTAGGCATTCTATCTAGTGCACCTTTCTCAGCACGTTTGCTTGTTGTTTTCTTGGAGAGCGATTGTCAGAAAATTGATAATAATGCATGTGATTTTTGCCCACAGAAATACAAATGAAATATGTTAGGTGGAATGCCATTGATTATTATATTGTCTTATATATAGTGATCAATTTTGTATCTATTTGAAAATTTATTTCAGAATTCCTGATTACTTATATGTGGAAACACTTTAAATTCTTTTCTGAGGGAGTTGTAACATCTTACTTGTTTCCTCATTTACTAGTGAGTTAAATATAATCTTTGACATGCATTAATTTTATATTTGTATGAGAACCATGGTTTTATCTCTTCTGGAAAATTCATCTTTTACATTAGAGACACCATGATGGACTCTACTTCTTATGAAGGGACTATAGAAAGCATGTATTTTAAATGCTTGCCTTCTACAAGCATTTCATCCTTTCTTAGTGTACCAGAGTACCTTAAAACAGAACAGAACAAAATAAACATTAACAACAAAGAAGGACATGAGTTAGTCCTATTTTTCTTTTTCATCCAGCATTATCAACTTTTTGTGTCAAAGTTATAAGCTTGAATAATGCTCATTTGAAAAGTTGAATTAAGATATCCTATAAATATATGATATTCATAAGAACAGAACCTCTTTATTTTGTTGAACCATTGCCACGTATTAAGAAAAGTTTAGAAATGATCAACATATTAATGGAAGAAAAAGACCAGCACAGTTGAATAAAACATTTTAAAATCTATAATTAAGATTATGTTAAAACAAAATGTGTGTATGGAACCAAAAAAGAGGTTGAAAGCCAAAGCCATCCTAAATAAAAGGAACAAATCAAGAGGCATCACATTACTTGATTTCAAATTATACTATAAGGCTGCAGTAACCAAAAATAGCATGGTACTGGTACAAAAACAAACACATAGACCAATGCTACAGAATGAAGAACCCAGAAGTAAAGCCACACACCTACAGCCATCAGATCTTCAACAAAGTTGACAAAAATAAGGAATATGGAAAGGACTCACTGTTTAGAAAATGGTGATGTGATAGCTGGGTTATCCTTATGGAGAATAATAAAACTGGACCCTTTCCTTACACCACTTACAGAATTAACTCAAGATGGGTTAAAGGTTTACATGTGAGACCTAACATTGTTAAACTACAGGAATCCTAGAAGAAAACCTGGGGAATACTCTTCTGGACGTCGATCTTGGGAAATAATTTATGATTAAATCCTCAAAAGCAATTGCAACAAAACCAAAAATTGACAGGTGCGACATATAAACTAAAGAGCTTCTGCACAACAAAAGAAACTATCAACAGACTAAACAGACAACTTACAGAATGGGAGAACATATTCATGAAGTATGCATCCAACAAAGGTCTAAGAACAAGAATCTATAAAGAAGTTAAAAAATTTAATAAGCAAAAACCAAATAACCCCATTACAAAGTGGGTAAAAGACGCAAACTTTTCAAAAGAAGACATACAAATGGTCAAAAAACATGAAAATACTCAGCATCACTAATCATTCAGAGAAATGCAAATCAAAACCACAATGAGATACCTTCCCACAGCAGTCAGAATGGCTATTATTAAAAAGTCAAAAATCACAGATGCTGGCAAAGCTGTGGAGGAAAGGGAACACTTATATGCTGTTGATAGGAATGTAAATTATTAGTTCAGACACCATGGAGGGCAGTTTGGAGTTTTCTCAAAGAATTTAAAACTGAACTACCTTAAACACAGCAATCCCATTACTAGATATATACCTAAAGGAAAATAAATCATTCTACACAAAAGACACATACACTCATATGTTCATCACAGCACTAATTACAATTACAAAGACAGAGAATCAACCTAGATGCCCATCAACGGTGGATTGGATAAAGAAAATGTGGTACATATGTAACATGGAATACTACCTAGCCATAAAAAGAACAAAATCATGTCCTTTGCAGCAACATAGATGCAGCTGAAGGCTGTCATCCTAAGCAAATTAATCCAAGAACAGAAAACCCTCAGTATCACACAATATACCTATGAAACAAAACTGCACATGTACCATGAATCTAAAATAAATTTGAAATTATAAAAATAAATAAGATAAAGCGAAATGTGTGAAATTTCTTTCAAGATCTGGACTAAATTTTTCTTTTGTATATAAAAGTTAATATATTGAGAATATTCTTTTTTAAAAGGAATATTCTTAAGTATATTATTGTAAATATGATTTCAAGAGATATACTCACACTTTTAGGAATAGAATGGTGATTGGCATCCTAGAGAAATCCCTATATATTGATATGCTTGCATGCAAAAACCTTGTTAATTAAATCGCACATTATCCTTACCTAATCATGTAATATGTTTCCAAAGCCAAGACAAAGCGCTGGTTTAACTCTAATAGAAATTAGGATTGACAAATTGATCTAGTTTTTGAGAGATATTATCCCAATCATTTATTTTCCAACTACCTTCCTGAAATTACTTTATGATAGAGAAGGTTTAAGGTGGTTTTTTTTCCACTGCTGTTATTTAAGAGGTCTGTTAGTGAGCAATAAAACTGATAACATTTTAAATATTTCACCTTTATTTGTTTTTTTTTTTTTCCTGATCCTCAGTTTGGAAATTCTCTGTTGATTACTAAAATAGATACAATTAAAATATTGAGAGGTTGCGAGAATAAAAACAAAAATATGTATAAATAAAAGTACTAATAATCCAGAGCTTACAAATTTATTTTATGATCAAAAGTTGGCCAAAGATAGGGTAGAAAACCGCGTTTAATGATTTCATTGAGAGGGAAAAAGGAGAGGGAAATCACACATTCAAAATAACTCTTGTAATAAGCAGCATGATTAAGAGAAGAATTTCCAAATTCATCAAATTATATTAAAATTTCAGTATCTATCCAGCATAACTATTTGACAGTTTCAGTAGTTTAAAAACTCAGAAGTTAATTAAAATTGGCTGAGATCTGAACATTGTCACATACTTTTAGAACTAGATAAACAAAGGGTAATACATTGGAAGAGCAGTAGGAGTAATTAACATGCTTGAGGACTTGATTTTGGGGAAAAATTAAAATGGAATAAATATAACTTAGCAAATCTTACAGGAAAACATCTTTTACTCAGGTATATGAATTTATATGACTGTACATTTTTAAAAGCCACCATATAAGTAAGAATTATTAATCTGTTAAGAAATATATATCTGTTGAGTAAAGGAGTAACAGTCAATTGGAATAAACTATTAGGAGATAGATTATACGGTGTATTTTCTGAAAAAAATAGTTTTTAAAAAGCTTTTGAAAACATTTATTAGCATTTGTGCTAATAAAGTTGAATGGTAATACAAATAAGTTAATATTGACCACCTGTTGAAGGTTTACTGAATACCTGACATCAAGCCAAGTAATTTTTCATGTTGCACCTCATTTAATCTTCACAATATCCCTAGAAATGGCACTGAATTTCTGTTTCCTTCAATTATGCTAATGTAAACATTCTGCCTTATACTGCAGCAGCTTGTCTGATCTGCTATTCTTTTATCCTTCATCTCTCTCTCCATGTGAGTATCTTGTATTGTATTACACTACTGGGTAGAAGACAATTCAGCCTAAGGATAAAACCACTGTTTTTCTTTAAAACATCGATTGCACTTTAATCATAATAACTTTTACTACTTTTTGAGTACATTCTATACACTAGCACTGTGGTAAGCCTTTTCCATACATGTTATTTAAGCCTCATGATAACTCGATGTGGTAGATATTATTACTACCCCCTCACACCCCCGGTTTTCTGACTGGAATGTATAGGCTCACACACATTATATAAATCAGGGATGTCCAGTCTTTTGGCTTCCTTAGGCTACATTGGAAGAGGAATTGTCTTGGGCCACACATAAAATACACTAACACTAACAATAGCTGATGATAAAAAAAAATCTCAAAAAATCTCATAATGTTTTTAAAAGATTTACAAATTTTTGTTGGGCTGCATTCAAAGCCATTCTGGGCCACATGTAGCCCACAGGCCTTGGGTTGGACAAGCTTGATATAAATCATCTAATACCACAAAGCCAGTGGGTGGCAGATCTGGGTTTATAATTCTCTTTGACTGCAAAACTTGTTCTCTTAGTTTTTATAGTACACTACCTTCCTGGAAATTGGTATTTCATGTTACTCCAATTTTACACACACACACACACACACACACACACACACACACACTTGAAGTAAAATTTACAGAGAATGCACAGACCTTAAGTGTACAATTCAACAACTTTTAATAAATATTTGTTTATTTATTTATTTATTATTTATTTATTTTGAGATGGAGTCCCCCCAGGCTGGAGTGCAGTGGTGAGATGTCAGCTCATTGCAACCTCCGCCTCCCGGGTTCAAGTGATTCTCCTGCCTCAGCCTCCTGAGTAGCTGGGATTACACGCACGCGCCACCATGCCTGGCTAATTTTTGTATTTTTAGTAGAGACGGGATTTCACCATGTTGACCAGGCTGGTCTCAAACTTCTGACCACAGGTGATTTGCCTGCCTCAGTCTCCCAAAGTGCTGGGATTACAGGTATGAGCCACCATGCCCGGCCTTAATAAATATTTATATGTGTGTAGTCACTACACAGGCTAGCTATAGAACATATAAATCACCTGAGAGTACTTGCTTATTCTCTTTCCAGTCAATCCCCGAATAGGCAGAGACTGTTCTAATTTTTATTACCTTGGAGTAATTTTCCTTCTCTTGAACTTCATGAAGTAAAATAATACTGTATATATTCTTTTATGACTGCCCTCTTTGACTCAAAATATGTTTTTAAGATTGATTCAAGTTGTGTGTATGAGTGGTGTATTTTTTCCATATTACATTGCATATATTTTAATTTTTATATAAGTATTTTCTGATTCTAATGCTATTGTAAATGAAATGTTTTTTAAATCTTATTCTCTATTTTTTGCTGCTACTATATAAAAATACAACTGAATTGTGTATATTGAGAATATATACTTCAAAATTTTAAAATTCACTTATTCTTGTTATGAGCTGAATTTTGTCACCCCCAAATTCATGTGTTGAGGTCCTAACACCCAGTACTTCAGAATGAGATTGTATTTGGAGACAAGGCCTTTAAATAGGTGATTAAGTTAAATTGAGGCCGTAAGGCTAGGCCCTAATCCAGTCTGATTAGTGGGCTTGTAAAATGTGAAAATTTAGGCCGGGCACGGTGGCTCGCGCCTGTAATCCCAACACTTTGGGAGGCCAAGGTGGGCAGATCACAAGGTCAGGAGTTCAAGACCAGCCTGGCCAACATGGTGAAACCCCGTCTCTACTAAAAATACAAAAATTAGCCAGGTGTGGTGGTGTGTGCCTGTAATCCCAGCTACTCGGGAGGTTCAGGCAGGAGAATTGCTTGCACCTGGAAGGTGGGGGTTGCAGTGAGCTGACATTATGCCACTGCTCTCTAGCCTGGGCAACAAGAGTGAAACTCCGTCTCAAAAAAAAAGAAAAAAAAGAAAATTTAGACACACAAATACCAGGGACTCAGAAGAAAGACTACCTAGAAGGTGGCCATCTGCAAGCTGAGGAGAGAGGGCTCAGGAGAAACCAAACCTGCTGTGAATTGATCTTGGACTTCTAGGCTCCAGAACGGTGAGGAAATAAGCTTCTGTTGCCAACCGCTTCTTTGTTATGGCAGCTCTAGCAAATTAATACAGTTCTTGTATTTCCTTAGCACTTTCTATATAAACACTTATGCCCCCAACAAATATAGAATCTTTTACTTTTTTTACTTTTTCCTTTATAATTTCCATGTCTTTTTTTTTTTTTACTGCATTTGTATTAGCTAGTTATGCCTTAATAATGATAAAAGTAGTAAAATAATAACCAATATTCCCTTGTTCCCAAACTTAGGAAGAAAGTGTGTCAATTTCACATTAACATTTTATATTATATTAATACTAGCTTGTAGGTTTCTCATGGATACCATTTATCAATAATGGATGCCCCCATTATTCCTAGGTTTCTGAGTTTGTTTTTGTTTTTTAAATTAAGCACAGATACTGAATTTTGTTAAATGTTTTATCTGAAACTGTAATAATTATTTAGTTTTCTTCTCTATATTTTGTTAAGTAGTAAATTACATAGATTTTCAAATATTAAACAAACCTGTATTTCCAGGATACACCTTGACACAATTTTTTATGTATTGCTAAATTTTATTTGCTAATAACGTATTAACGATTTTTGTTTCTATAATCATGAGAGATTTTTGGCTTTGATTTTCTTTTATAGGTAATAGTTCAGCCAGGTTTTGGCATAAAGATTACGTTAGCCTCAGAAAATAAGCTGAGAGGAGTTCTCTGTGTTTTCTGAAGGATTTCCTGTAAGATTGACATAATTTCTTTGTGAAATACTTGATAGAATTTTGCATTGAAATCATCTGTAGTGAGACTTCAAAGAAAAAAATCCATCTTCTTTGGATAGCTATACTGCTATTCACATTCTTAATTTCCATGTGTCAGTTTTGATAAGTTGTGTTTTTCTTCAGTTTTTTTCATCTCATCCGTGATGTTGAATTTTCTGTCATTTGATTATTCAATATATTTATTTATATCATTTTAATGGTTTTACTATCTGTAGTGGCATCTCCTTTGAATTCCTTACTTGTTAATTTTTCTCTCTCTTGATTTCTGGATGTCTAGTTATTTTTGTTTTCCATTTAATTAATTTCTATTTTTGTTTTCATTATTTCCTTTTGCCAACTTACTTTGCCTACAGTTAGTTCTTTTTCTAATTTTCTAAAGTGATAAGTAAATGTTTAGGCCTTTCTTATTTTCTAGTATAAGTTTTTTAAAGCTTTGAATTTCCTTCTGAGCACTTAATTTTATAAATTTTGATCTACTATATTTTATTATCAATTGTCATCAAATCAGAAATATGTTCTAAAGTCCTTTGTGTTTTCTTCTTAAATCTATGTAATTTCAAATAGACTGTCTTATTTATTTATATTTGAGACTTTAAAATATGTTACTAATTCTAAAAATTAACTTTGTTTTTGATTTACAATTCTGATGTGAATTAATTTTAAACATTTTGCAATTTAAGATTTATTTTATTGCGCATATATGGCATATTCCACTAAACATTTCATGTATACTTTAAAGATGATTTTTCTACCTTTGTTGGGTGAAATGTCCCATGAATGTTGATTAGGATGAGTAGTAGGATGAGATTGTTGTTGAAATATTCTATGAACTTATTAATAGTTGGTCCAGCATGTTCACCAATTACTAAGAAAGAAGTGTTAAAAACTTCAGCTATGATTGTGGATTCATCCACTTTTCCCTTTATTTCTATTGTTTTTTGCTTCTTGTGATTTGAAGCTTTGCTGTTATGTTTATACACATTTAGGATTGTTATATCTCCTTAATGAGTTTACTCTTTTATCATCATAAAAAGTTTCTGTTAGTTTCTGGCAATATTCCTCGTCCCCGCTTACTTTGTCTTATATTAGTAATATAACCACTTCGTTTTTCTTATATTAGTATTTACGTGGCATATCTTTTTCTTCTTTTTCTTTCAAGCCTATTCTTTATATTTAAAGTACCTTCCTTATGGAAAGCAAATTTTACTTTCCTTACCAACTTAAACAATCTCTTCCTTTTAATTGGAGTGTTTAGTAATTTACCTTTAGTCTAATTAATGACTCACTTTGAATTGTCTATCATTATGCTGTTTGTTTTCTACTTATCCCACCTATTGTTTTGTTTCTCTGTACTTTTTCCCGTCTTCTTAAAAATGAGTTTAATAGTCCAGTTTAATATTCCACTTTATTTTCTCCATTGACTTTTTAACTATATGACTTTGTGTTATTTTTAGAGGCTGCTGTAGGGATTAAATATGTGTTCCTAACTCAACATAGATTACTTAAAGTTAATTATTGTGCTACTTTACCCTTCTTTTTGCTATTGTTTTCATGTAATTTATATTTACATACATTATAAATTCCGTGATATAACGTTATACTTTTTTTTCTTTTTTGGTTTTCTTTTTTGAGACGGAGTCTCACTGTGCCGCCAGGTTGGAGTGCAGTGACGCTGCAACCTCCACCTCCCGGGTTCAAGAGATTCTCCTGCCTCAGCCTCCTGAGTAGCTGGGACTACAGGCGCGCACAACCACGCCCAGCTACTTTTTGTAATTTTGGTAGAGACGGGGTTTCACCATGTTAGCCAGGATGGTCTCAACCTCTTGACCTTGTGATCCACCCACCTCGGCCTCCCAAAGTGCTGGGATTACAGGCATGAGTCACTGCACGTGGCCACTTTTTTTTTCTTTAAACAGTGATATCTTTTAAATGAATTAAGAGAGAATTTTCATTTTTATATTTACTCACATATTTAGCATTATCAGTGCTGTTTCTGTAGACCCATATTTCATCTCATATATTTATCTTTAGCTGTTATACTTCTTTTTTATAATACAGATCTGAGGGTGACAAATTCTCTCAGTTACACTTACCTGAAAATGACTTTATTTTTCCCTAATTTTTGAATTATATTTTTGATGGAAAAGTAATTCTGGGTTGACATATTTTATAGAACTTAAGAGATGTTCTCTCATCTTTTGGCCTTCATTGTTTCTGGTAAGAAGCCAGATCCCATTCATATCTTTACTCTGTGTGTAATTTATTTTTTTATGTCTGGCCGTTTTCAAGATTTTGTCTTTATCTTTGGTTTTCAGCAGTATGACAATAATATGCTTAGGTGTGGGGTTTTTTTTATATTAATCCTGCTTAGTTTATGAATTTGCAAGTTGACATTGTCACAAAATGTGGGACATTTTTGGACTTTTCTTTGAATATGTTTTTACCCCCTTTTTCCCACTGTTTCTTTTAGGACTTTATATATTTTAGACTGGATATTGCTCCACAGGTCACTGAGAATCTAATCTTTATTATTCAATCCTTTATTTTTCAGTTCTTCAAAACAAATTATTTCTATTAATCATTCTTTGACCAGTTCTCCTTCCTCTCCAATCTGCTTTTATTCCCAGCACGGAAAATTTTGATATAGGTAATTTTTTATTCTAGAATTTTAATTTAGTTTTTAAAATATTTTCAATTAGTATGCTAAGATTTTCTAATTTTTATTCATTATAAGCATATATTTTTGTTTACTACATTGAGCCTATTTTTAATAGCTACTTTAAATTTCTTGTCTGGTAATTTCAACTCTTAGTCATATTTTGTCTATTTCTACTAAGTGCTTTCTGTGTATGTGTGTGTGCTTGTGATCATTGGTAACATTTTTCTACTTCTTTGATTATCTGCTAAATTTTTTCTGAAAATTCTGATTTATTGTAGAAACTACTAATTCTGTTATTTTCCTCTGAAGAGTGTTACCTTTATTCTGTCAGAGTCAAATTATTTGCTAATTACGTTAAACTCATGGAGTCTTGTTTTTGTGCTTTGTTAGGGCAGGTCTGTGGCAAACCTGAGGTACTTACTAGGGCCTTTTTAACCTGGAAAGATTTATACTCCAAATTTTTATGCAGTAGGAAACCTGTGTAATCTCTGCTCAATTCATATAGCCTTCCAACTGTTTTCTTCTAGAGTTCTTCAAGTCCTCCCTGTTTGCCATTGTGAAGCCTTGAGATTGATGTGAACGAGATCTGAGTCACATATAGTTACAACTTCTTATTCTCAGATTATAGATTAACTCGCTTTCTTATTTTCCTTGTTCTGTTCAATGACTAGAGAGAATTAAATGACATGAGAGACAAAAACCTCCTGCCTTTTAAATTAATTACCCTTGTTATAAATTAACTTCCCTTTGTTGTTCCTGCTTTGCTTAGACAATATGTTGGAAAACCTATGACTGTTATACCCTGTGTTAAAAAAATTGTGAAATGACCTCTTTCCCAAAAGAAACACTGCCTATCACCAATCAAAATGCTTCAACTATGTATTAAACTTAGATGAAACTCCCGTCTCTCCCTGTATAAATGAAACTTTAACTTCCCTCCTTGGGAATGCTGACTCTATTCCTCTGAAGTTTCTTTTGGAAACTGGAGTTTCCTGGTGGGCCATCCTTAAATTTTTCACTTGAGTAATATCTTCACATTAGATTCTGACTCTTTTGATTACTTTAGGCTGATACCACTCAGTAGTCAGCAAAGAATGTGAGAGGGTAGATGACAATTTTGGGCCTTCCATTGTGTGTCCCTTCTATGCAAGATTTCTCTCCTTGGTATCTCCCTATTATTGTAGCCTAGACTACTTAAACTTCGCAAGCCACAAAACAAAACAAAATAATGTAATGTAAAATAAAAACTACAATTTTTTATGTTCTATTTGCCAATCCTGTATGCACTTTGTAGTATCATTAGAAGGAGGCCATTTAAATGTTAGTTCTACCTTGTGTGTGTCCTTTTCTTCAAGGACCAAATCCCTTTCAGTTCTGCTTATTGTCGCTCTCAGTGTGTTCAACTTCTTTTTCTTTTTACATTTGTTCAGATATTGTAATTATCTTCAGGAGGGCTATTCTGCTAACAAGAAGCCACAGTAATACATTTAGACTAACTGCCTTAACACTTGTACTTTTCAATGATTTATGCTAGTATCTCATCTCGTTGGTTTTGCTTGTTTTGTTGTTTTCAATCTTTCCCTTTGCTCACCTACTCTAAAGCACAATCCTCAGGTCTACCGTGCTGCTAAGGATTGGTATCTTTAATTGCCTGACCATAGGGCCAACAACTTCACCTCTCATGTTTTTGCATTCAAGGTCTTGCTCACCACAGTGTATAAAAGACTAGAGGGAACACTGGCCAAGCATGGATGCTCTTGGCTTTCAGCATCTCGCTGAGGTTCTTCCTTCTGTTTTATTTCTCTTTCTCTCTTTACCTGTAACCCAAACCCCTGGGATTACTGAACTATTTTTTTTACTACAGTGTTTTTTTTTTCTTTTTTCAACTTTTATTTTAGAATCAAGGGTACATATGCAGGTTTATTACAAAGACATATTTATGATGCTGAGGTTTAGAATATGAATGAATCTGTCACCCCTAGAGCATAGTACCCGATTGATAGTTTTTTCCAACCCTTACCTCCTCTTTTCTCTCCTACCTCTTGTATTCCCCAGTGTCTATTGTTCCCATTGTATGGCCATGTGTACCTAATGTTTAGCTCCCACTTATAAGTGAGAATATGCAGTATTTAGTTTACTGTTTCTGTGTCAGTTTGCTTAGGATGATGGTTTCCAGCTGCATCTATATTGCTGCAAAGGACACAATTTTGTTCTTTCTATGACTGTGTAGTATTCCATCATGTATATGTACCACATTTTCTTCATCAATTCACTATTGATGGGCACTGTGTTTGAATCCATGTCTTTGCTATTGTGAATAGTGCTGTGAACATACTTGTACATGTGTCTTTTTGGTGGAACAATTTATTTTCCTTTGGGTATGTAACCAGTAATGGGATGGCCAGGAGGAATGGTAGTTCAACTCTTAGTTTTTTGAGAAATCTACAAACTGCTTTTTACAGTACTGAATTAATTTACATTCCCACCAACAGCGTATGAGGGTTCCCTTTTGTCTGCAGCCTTGCCAACATCTGTAATTTTTTGCCTTTTTCACAAAAGCCATCTTGACTGGTATGAGATGGTATCTCATTGTGGTTTTATTTTGTATTTCTCTGATGATTAGTGATGCAGAGCATTTTTTCATATGTTTGTTGGATGCTTCTATGTCTCTCTTGAGAAGTGTGTCTTCCTTTGCCAACTTTATCATATTTTGTAAAATTTTTTAATTTTAATTTTTGGGTACATAGTAGATGTATATATTTATGGGGTGCATGAGATATTTTGATACAGCCATGCAGTGCATAATAATCACATCATGTAAAATGGAGTCTGCATCTCCTCAAGTATTTATCCTTTGTGTTACAATCTAATTTTACTGTTTTAATTATTTTAAAATGTGCAATTAAATTATCATTGAGTATAGTCACTCTGTTGTGCTATCAAATACTAGTCTTATTCATTCTTTCTAAGTATTCTTTTTTTACCCATTAACTACCCTTATCTCACCGCATCCTCCCACTACGCTTCAATGGCATTGTTTTTGGCCTGTTGAATTGTTTAAGTTCCTTAAGGATTCTGGATATTAGTCCTTTGTTTTATGCATACTTTGTGAATATTTTCTCCCATTGTGTAGGTTGTCTGTTTACTCCGTTGGTAGTTTTTCTTTCTGTGCAGAAGCTCTTTAGTTTAATTACATCACACTTGTCAATTTTTGTTTGTGTTGCAATTGTTTTTGGGGACTTAGCCATAAATTATTTCCCAAGGCCAATGTCCAGAAGAGTATTTTCCGGGTTTTCTTCTAGGATTCTTATAGTTTGAGGTCTTACATTTAAGTCTGTAATCTATCTTGAATTAATTTATGTATATGGTGATAAGTAGAGGTCCAGTTTCATTCTTCTGCATACAAGTAGACAGTTATCCCGGCACCATTTATTGAATAGGGATTCCTTTCCTCATTGCTTATTTTTGTCAGCGTTGTAAAGATCAGATGGTTGTAAGCGTGCAGCCTTATTTCTGGGTTCTTTATTCTGTTTCTTTGGTCTATGTGTCTGTTTTTTGTACCAGCACCATGCTGTTTTGGTTAGTGTAGTGTTGGTACTACAGTGATTGTAAGTCCACGCACCAAAAAGGAAATTGTCCATCTAAGAATCAGAGTTACCTTTCTGTTTCTGTCTTTAAACATTCTTTTTTCAGTTGATGAGTAATGGACAAAATATTTATGGATAGTGTATAAAAGTCATGATTTGTATGATAAGCAGCTAAAATATTTTTGTTCCAATAAAAAAAGCAGACAAAATCTTTCAATATTTCTATTTTTCTGTCCTAATCATTCCAGAGAATGTTGGTTTGGGTTGAAATTGTTTTCAAAATTCATTTAACATGCAGCTTCATGTAAAAGCAAAAAAAAAAAAAAAAAAAAAGAAAAAAAAAGGGCTTTTTTAAAATCTTTATCAAAACAGAAAGTAAGAGAGCTAATCTAAGCACATAAAAAACAAAGTTTTAGTTTTATTGATCTTTTGTATTTTTTCTTCATTTCATTTTTATTTATTTCTGCTCTGATCATGAGTACTTTTTTCTTCTACTAATTTTGGTTTTGGTTTCTCTTGCTTTTCTAGTTCTTTATGATGTATCATTAGGTTGTTTATTTGAAATTTTTCTTCTCTTTTGATGTAGGCAGTTTTAGTTCTAAGCTTCCCTCTTAGGATGGGAACATAAATAACAGAAACGTATCCCATAGGTTTTGTTATGCTATGTTTCTGTTATTATTTGTTTCAAGACATTTTTAAATTTCTTCTTAATTTTTTCACTGATACACTGGTCATCCAGGAGCATATTGTTTAATTTCCATGTGTTTGCATACTTTCCAAAATTCCTCTTGTTATAGATTTATAGTTTTATTCCACTGTGGTCAGAGAAGATGCTTGATATTATTTCAAATTTTAAATGTTTTTTTGACTTGTTTTGTGACCTAACATATGATATATACTTGAGAATAATCCATGTGCTGAGGAGAAGAATGTGTATTCCACAGTCATTGGGTGAAATATTCTGTAAATATCTATTATGTCCATTTGTTCTATAGTGAAGAGTAAGTCTCATATTTCTTTGTTGATTTTCTGACTGGAGGATCTGTCCAATCCTGAATGTGTGGTGAAGTGTGTGGTCTCTAGTTATTATGTTTTGGAGTTTATCTCTCTCATTAGCTCTAATAATATTTACTTTATATATTTGGGTGCTTCAGTCTTGGGCGTATATATGTATTTACAATTGTCATATACTCTTGCTCAATTGATCCCTTTATCATTATATAGTGACTTTCTTTGTATCTTCTTATGGGTATTTTATTGAAATATATTTTGTCTGATGTAAATATAGTGACTCTTGCTCTTTTTTGGTTTCTGTTGGTATGGAATATCTTTTTTCCATTCCTTTATTTTCACTCTATGTGTGTCTTTATATATGAAGTGAGTTTCTTGTAGGCAACAAGTCACTGGGTCTTGTTTTTTTTTAGTCCATCAGCCACTCTATGTACTTTGGTTGGAGAGCTTAGTCCATTTACAGTGAATGTTATTACTGATAAGGACTTACTCCTGCCATTTTCTTGTTTTATATGGTTTTGAGGTCTCCATGAGGCTTAAAACACTATCTTATAAACCATTCTTTTTAGCAGATGATAATTTAACCCTTTGCATAAACAAGCAAACAAGCAAAAATAAAACCAATAAAAAAGTACACTTTAATGTCATTCTCCTGATTTTTAACCTTTTGTTGTTTCTATTTATATCTTATTGCACTATGTTTTGAAAAGTTATTGTAGTTATTAGTTTTAATTAGTTTATTGTTTAGTCATTCTACTTCAGATAAGAGTGGTTTACATGCCACAGTTAGAATGTCATAATATTCTGTGGTTTTCCTGTGTCCTTACTATTACCAGTGAGTTTTCTATCTTCAGATGATTTCTTATTGCTCATTAATTATCCTTTTCTTTCTGATTGAAGTACTCCCTTTAGCATTTTTTGTAGGACAGGTCTGGTGTTGATGAAGTCCTTCGGCTTTTTTTTGTCTAGAAAAGTCTTTGTTTCTCCTTAATGTTTGAAGGAAATTTTCACTGGATATACCATTCCAGGGTAAAAGTTTTTTTTTTTTTTCCTTCAGCAGTTTAAATATATCGTGCCACTTTCTCCTAGTCTGTAAGGTTTCCACTGAAAAGTCTACTGCCAGACATACTGGAGCTCCATTTTTTGTTATTTGTTTCTTTTCTCTTGCTGCTTTTAGGATCCTTTCTTTGTCCTTGACCTTTGGGGGTTTGCTTATTAAATGCCTTTATGTAGTCTTCCTTGGGTTAAATCTGCTTGGTGTTCTGTAACTTTCTTGTATTCAGATATTGATGTCTTTCTCTAGATTTGGGAAGTTCTCTGTTACTATCCCTTTGAATAAACTTTCTACCTCATCTTTTTCTCTACCTCATCTTTAAGGCCAATAACTCTTAGATTTGCCCTTTTGAGGCTATTTTCCAGGCCTTGTAGGTGTCCTTTATTCTTTTGTTTCCTCTGACTATGTATTTTCTAATAGCCTGTTTTCAAGCTCACTAGTTATTTCTTCTGCTTGATCAATTCTGCTATTAAAAGACTGATGTGTTTTTCATTATGTCAATTGCATTTTTCAACTCCAGAATTTCTGCTAAATTCTTTTTAATTATTTCAGTCTGTTAAATTTATTTGATAGAATTCTGAACTCCTTCTCTGTTATCTTGAATTACTTTGCATTTCCTCAAAACAGCTATTTTGAATTGTCTGTCTGAAAGGTCACATGTCTCTGTTTCTCCATGATTGGTCCATGGTGCCTTATTTAGTTCATTTAGTAAGGTCATGTTTTCTTGGATGGTGTTGACACTTACAGGTATTCACTGGTTTCTGGGCATTAAAGAGTTAGGCATTTACTGTAGTCTTCACAGTCCGGGCTTACTTGTACCCATCCTTCTTGGGAAGGCTTTCCAGGTATTTAAAAGGACTTGGGTGTTGTGATCTAAGCCATATCTGTATTAGGGGACACCCCAAGCCAATTAACACTGTGGTTCTTGCAGACTCATAGAGGTACTGCCTTGGTAGTTTTGGACAAGACACCAAAATTCTCTGCATTGCCACGCAGAGATTTTTGTTCTCTTCCCTTATTTTCTCCCAAACAAATGGAGTCTTGCTCTCTATGCTGATCCACCTGGACCACCACTACTGAGATGACACTGGGTCAGTCCTGAAGCCATTGCAGCACTGGGTCTTCCCCAAGGCCTACAGTAATCACAAACTTGCTACTGCCTATGTTTGCTCAAGGCCCTAAGGCTGTACAATTATCCAGTGGCAAAGGCAGATAGGCTTATGTCCTTCTGTTCAAGGCAGTAAGTTCTCCTAGATCCCAGCTGGATCTAGAGATGCTGTCCAGGAGCTAGGGACTGGAGTCAAAAACCTTAGAAATCTATCTGGTATTCTATTTTACTGTTGCTGAGCTTGCTCTCAAACTATGAGATCCAGTCCTTCCCACTCTTCCCTCCCCTTTTCATAGGCAGGGGAACCTCATCCCTTGGCTATTACTACCACAGGTGCATGGGGAGTATTGCCAGGCTTCCACCAGTGTTCACTTAAGGCCCATGGGCTCGTCAATCAGCTTGTGGTTAATGTTGCCAGGCCTGGGACTCACCCTTTAGAGTGATGGGCTCCCTTCTGGCCCAGTGCAGGTCCAGAAATGCCATCCCAGAGCCAAGACGTGGAATCAGGGACCCCAGGAGTCCACCTGGTTCTCTACTTCCCTGTGGTCAAGCTGCTAATTAAGGTACAAGATGAAGTCCCCTTACTTTTTTCTCTGCTTTTTTCAAGCACATGGAATCTCTTGTAATAGCCATCAGAACTAGGAATGTACTGAGTCTTAACTGAAACCATCACATGTTAGAGTCTCACCCAAGGCCCCCAGCCTACTACCTGGGTATTGCTGCTGGTTATTCAGGGTCCAGGATCTCCTTAGTTAGCAGGTGATAGATCCTGCGAGAACTAGGTCCTTCCCTTCAAGGTAGCAGGTTCCCTTTTTGTTCAGTGTGTCTAGAAAGATTGTCCAGGAGCTAAGATCAGGAATGGGGGCCTCATGACTTTGTCCAGTGCCTTAGCTTTCTGTTGGCTGAGCTGGTATCCAAAATGCAAGACAAAAGGCCCCTTTACTCTTCCTCTTCTCTCCTGAAGGGGTCAGAAGGGGTCTCTTTTGGAGCCATGAACTGTGCAGTCTGGGGTTGGGAGAGGGGTGGTGCAAGCACTCCCTTAGCTGCCCCAGCTTGTGTCTCAGTAGGCCATGTGCCTTCCAAGTTCACCGGCTCTCATCCCGACACAGCACCAGAACTCACCAAAAAGTTGCAGTTCTTGTGTCCTAGACTGCCCTTCATGTTTACTGATGGCCTCAGAGCACTCCAGCCAGTGGTGGCAACTTGCTAAAACTCAAGTTCTGACCGCTGGGATAGGTGATTCCCCTCCAGCTGGGGCTGTTCCAGATGCTCCCTCCATGGGCAAGCATCAACTACATATAGTTTGGTTCTGCTTTCCACTGTGACAAGGTAGTACTGAGTTCAATGCAGAGTCTCATAATCACTGTGTTCTCCCTCCCCAATTGCACAGATTCTCTGCACCATGCAGCCACTGCTGGGAGATAGGGGATGGGTGGCCTGAGCAATTCGAGACTGTTTTTCTTTCCATTTTCAGTGCCTCTTTTAGTAAGTTAAAACCAGGTGTTATGAGTGCTCAGTTAAATTTTGGTTCTTATGAAGGTGCTGTCTTTTGTGTAGATAGTTGTTGAATTCAGTGTTCCTATTGGTGGGGGGACAATTGGTGCAGCCTTCTATTCCACCATCTTGCTCCTCTCCCTCCATATATTCTTTTTAACATAATATGCTCATACTTTTTTTTTTCTTGTCACTCTATTTTTTATAGTCATCCTTTTAATGGATGCACTAAAAGTGAGCTTACCACAGTTGACTTGTTTATTAACCTTTAAAATATTTTCTAAATTTTTACTATTATATATTATGTCATCCATATAGCCTTCGGTTTCATTTTTCTTGTCTTTAAAAGTGAATGATAGCTATGTCACAAATTACAGTGAGGAGTAAATAAAACAATCTGTATTAAATCTTTAGTATTCTATCTGAAACAACTTTGACTAAAACAAAATGTCAGTTTCCTTTATCTTTTGAGACAAATCCATAGGACACAGATGCCTTGCTACAGATAAGTGGATACACATCGTTCACAAAATAAGAAAGCAGGAAATGGTGGATTTTGTAGTGCGTGGAGCAGGCCACACACTAAGAAACTGGAAAAGACTTGCTGTGAATATTAAATTGTAATTAACATAAAAACCATATGAATTTTGGCATTAGGTATTTGCTTGTTTGGGTTTGGGGAAGATAGACAGTTTGTTTTCTTTATGCCTTGACTCCGTTTCTGTACAAACAGTCTTTTTTCTGCTATAATCCCATGATAGAAGTTTCGACTTAGAAGTTAGCTGTGACTCTTTGCTCACAGATGAAATGCCCATGTTTTATAAACTCAAATTGTCATTTAAAGTAAATGTCGGAATTTACATACACCCCCTCCCTTGGAGATTTCAGAAGCAAAGTGACATATTAAAGAACCGGGGTTCAGGAATCAGGAGTTCAGTATCTGGTCTAGTGCTGTCACTAACATGTGCAGAATAAAGGCTAGTTACTGGGGGCTGTTTCCCTCATTTATAAATAAGTTTTAAAAATTATTTCATCTTTGAGATTCAATGACCAGAAATACATACAGGAAACAAACATTTTAAACATTTTATTTTAATTTAAATATCATCTAGCTGAGCAAATATTTACTTTTAAAAGAAAGTAGTATGGGGACTACTTCATAGACAGAACATCTCTCACACGGAGAGACTGATAGATTGAAATTTAAAACTGCAATTATTTTTACAAAGTGAGTGACAGTGAAAAATAAAATATTTTTATTGTATCTCCTAATGATCTAGATTCCTGTCTCCATGTTGTTGTAGCCCCATGGGCTCCAAAAAATATGCATTTATTCAGACATTTAAAAAAGAAAAGTTTGGGCCAGGTGCGGTGGCTCACGCCTGTAATCCCAGCACTTTGGGAGGCTGAGGAGGGTGGATCACGAGGTCAGGAGATCGAGATCATCCTGGCTAACACGGTGAAACCCTGTCTCTACTAAACATACAAAAAATTAGCCAGGTGTGGTGGCACCCACCTGTAGTCCCAGCTACTTGGGAGGCTGAGACAGGAGAATCGCTTGAACCAGGGAGGTGGAGGTTACAGTGAGCCGAGATTGCACCACTGCACTCCAGCCTGGGGACAGAGCAAGACTCCATCTCAAAAAAAAAAAAAAAGGGAAAAAAAGAAAAGTTTTACCGAGTCTAACTTGCAATTGAAAACTAAGAGTCTTGGCCGGGCATGGTGGCTCACTCCTGTAATCCCAGCACTTTGGGAGGCCGAGGTGGGTGGATCACAAGGTCAAGAGATCAAGACCATCCTGGCCAACATGGTGAAACCCCGTCTCTACTAAAAATACAACAATTAGCTGGGCGTGGTGGCACTTGCCTGTAGTCCCAGCTACTCAGGAGGCTGAGGCAGGAGAATCACTTGAACCAGGGAGGCGGAGGTTGCAGTGAGCTGAGATCGCGCCACTGCACTCCCGCCTGGCAACAGAGTGAGACTCCGTCTCAAAAAAAAAAAAAAAAAAACACTAAGAATCTTGACATATCATGTATCAATCATTTTAAGCCACTTCAGTGGGGGTACTTCTAACCAAATGACTCTATCAGTGATAAAAATATCATAGTTTATGCCAGATTAATTAGTGATAACAATATATGTAACTCTTTCAGACTTATATTCAACTAATCAATATAACAATAACAATAAGAGCTTGAATCTGAATTTTCTGAAAAAACTCATAATTACAACTCTGAAGACCCAGTTTTAAAACTCTCAGCAATAAAATGAGAATAAAGGTGCCTCTATTAGAGGGAATACAAGTAAATTTCACTGAAGTTTTCTCTAACACTAATGGAAGAACTAAGAGCTGGGAAGATAGAGCCAAATTCACTTAACTGAGAAAGCCTCAAGAGATAGGTGCACTTTCTTCATAGCTACATGAGTGGAAGACTAAATGGACTGTTCTATAGCAAATATCTGTGCTACGTAAAAGAAAACCTGTAGAAATTGAAAACCCAAGTGTTGAAGTCAAGAGCTATAAGTAAAGATTGGGATGTCCATTGTGTTTAAGTATATAGTGGGAAAGAACAAGCACATAAGAATGTAAGAAATGCTATGCTGGACTATTGTCTGTGAATTCCATAAGAAATGGAAGTTGACATACTCCATTACCTAGAAATAAAACACATTTTCAGATAAAACAGCCATTTTTCACAAGGTCACAAAAGCTCAGCCAGCAAGAAAGCCAAAGAGGAATGAAACAAATGGGCTTACATAGAACATTTTAGGCTGATTAGTTATTCATATCATTTTCAGTACATAGACTAGTTAGCAGGCAAAGATTGGACTAAATGATAAGGGACCTTAATGATAAGTGAAAAAAAAAGATGCAAGCAAAAAGAACATGTGCATCAATTCCATTACCCTTGCCTACATTAGAAAACGCAACTGGAATGCAAGCAGTGCTAGTCATGGTGGCCATTACTTGTTTAGGATACTCTTATAGCTGGTGTAGTAGCAAATGCTTCCTCCTACTCTGTTAAACATACATTTTGCCCATGTATGCTGGAGTCTGTAAGCTGGGGGTGTGATTAAAATCATGTTGTAAACACTCTATCAAAATTCAAACCCATCATTCTTTTTCATGTGTTGAATGAGAATCTTCATTCTTGTTTTCACATACATAATTGTTTTTCTATTAATTATACTCAATAAAGTCTTTACCGCATTTCTGGGAAATAGGAAAGAGATGTACAAACAGTAATTAAAACAAACTTAAGGGAATAAGAACATTATTCTAGCTATTAGTTGCCCCAGAAAAGGTTTGTCTAACAAGATTGTCAGGTATTTTGAAGGTAATAGTAATGCATTATAGCCGTGTAGTTATAATGGAGGACTGGTTCTCATCACTGCCTTATCAGCCATGTACACAGACTGTGGCTTTCACAGTTCTAGTAGGACATCCTTCTCCTGAGGATCCAAAGATCCAAGCCTTTGCAGGCGGGTGTGGATAAAAGGCCTTAAATCTACATCTGATGGCTAGATGCCTTAGAATGGTGACACACAATTCTCATCTCAGTGTTGACCCATGGTGTGCAGACATTGGTTTAGTTACCCGTGGATCCCTGCCCTGGTGATGCATCTATCCCGATTCTGCTTCTGTCTTTATGGTCAGGTCAGGTGCACCTCTGGAGTTGCCCCTACTTCCAGGAGTTCATGCTTTCATAGTCTCTTTCCTGCACCCAGCCCAGGTGATCTTATTCTCCAGAAATAACCAGAGCCCACTTGTTATTCTTGGAAAATTCAGCCTCTGATTGTTCTTGAGAGGTGAAGAAGAGGCTCACCAAGTTGGATGAATTGTGTTAGGTCCACATTTTCCAGACGTTTGAGAATTAAAACTTCATTTTGAAGACCAAGATAATTTCAAGAAACTGCAACATAAAAGCAGTCATACTGCTGACATTCATTGGCTTCTGAGAATTAGTACCTGTGTCTCTTGAATTTGTTTTTTGATCAGTCATTGCAATATCTACATACTTTGGGAAAATACTTGTTTACTGTAAGAAAGACAGTCTAACATCATAAATGAAGGCTTTGGAACTGTGCTGCCTGGATTTAAATATGGATATGACTCTGCCACTCATTAGTTGTGTGGCCTTTGGCAAGCTAACCAAGAATTTCATGCCTCAGTTTCTTTATCTGAAAAATGAACACAACAATGGTACTTACCTTGTAAGTTTGCACTAAGAATTAAGTAAATTATTATATATAAAGTGCTTAGAACAAAGTAAGTGCTTAGAAGTTACTTTCTCAGTATATGTGAGAAATTATTATTATATATGGGGCATATATTGGGTCTAAGAAAACAATATCCCAGAAAGAAGCCCTCAGCAGCAGCCTCAGAAGAAAAGTATTTCTCTGACCTTCTCCAGCCCACCTGTCTCTTAGTCCCATTCTCTCCTAAGGCTATCCATGGAAACTAGAATCCCTTTTCCTCAAGGCATGTCATAGAAACTAGAATCCCTTTTTCCCCAAACCAGCAATAAAACTTAAAAATATTACTCTTTCCTGGCTGGGCACAGTGGCTCATGCCTGTAATCCCAGCACTTTGGGAGGCTGAGGCAGGCGGATCACCTGAGGTCAGCAGTTCGAGATCAGCCTGGCGAACATGACAAAACCCCATCTCTACTAAAAATACAAAAATTAGCTGGGTGTCGTAGCAGTTGCCTGTAATCCCAGCTACTCGGGAGGCTGAGCCAGGAGAATCGCTTGAACCTGGGAGGTGGAGGTTGCAGTAAACTGAGATCATGCTGTTGCACTCCAGCCTGGGTGACAAGAATGAAACTCCGTCTCAAAAACAAAACAAAACAAAACAAAACAAAAAACACAAAAAATTACTCTTTTCTTCCACCTTTCTATGTAAAAACTGCCCATAAGGAAAATATCTGAGCTACCTTGTTTGACTGTAGGTCATAAGACCCCATTCCAGAGTGGGTCCTAACCCTAACCTTAACCCAGGAAAAACAATGGATGCTCAGAGAGGCCAAGAAGAATCTAGACAGACAGGCATTGCTGGTTTTCCCTACCCAGTCTATTAGCTTTACATCACAACCTTTTTGTCCAATCACATTTCTATACAGCTTTCCATGTTTTGTTGAACCTAAGCATAAAAATGGACAATTTCCCCTGTCTATTTGGGTTTTCATCCTGAAAGCTCCCATGAATACATGTTAAATAAATTTGTATGCCTTTTATCCAACTAATCTGCTTTTTACAACTTGATTTTCCAGTGAACCTTCAGAGAACCAAGGGGAACTTCCCTCCTTCACCCCTATGCATACATGCTGTTTATTGAGCCTACAAAGCTTGTGTATAGCACAGCCTCTCTAAGTTTTTAAGGACAAGCAGTTTTGAGATTCTATTAAATGACATAACAGATCTGGTGGCATATGGCCACCACCTCTAAGATATGTGCCAAACTGAGAGATCTGTTTGATCCCACGTGTTTAAGATGGAAGAATTAATAAATTGGCTCTTGTCATGTGTAAGAGACAGAATATTTTCAACGAAGACAATTAGGAGAAGGCAAACTATAATTTGAAGGATCATGAAAGATCAGTATTAATCTGTTGATCTGCATGTAGAAAATCCCCGGTGCCTTTAGCCAGGTTAATCACGTGTCCCTGGGCTTCATTTCCAACCATGAACAAATTACATCCTTGTCTCTTCTGTGGCTGACAGGCAATTTTAGTGATAAATAAAGTTGAAGGCTTTCAAAGTAAAGTTTGAATTACTTTGCATATATTTACACACATAAAGCAACATTTGGCAATTTAGGATTTGTCAGGATAAAAGACATTTAATAAATTTATCACCACCTAGTTGTTCCAGAGGCAAACACTAATTTTGATGCAATTAATCTAAGCATTCGAGGAGTGAATTAATGAATTTCTGAATAACTTACTATGGCTTGCTGCCACCTTTGCAAATCTTATATCCTTTCATGTTGACGTCCCTTTCTCTCATTTAATTTCTTGTACCTCTCCTAAATTTTGGGGACCCAAACAAATAGTTAAAGGGAGATGGAGAAAGGAATTTCTCACTTTCCTAAATGCAAATATACATGAAAAAGAAGAACAAAATGTTTTGATGGTGACATTTTTTAAATAATTTACCTGATCCCTAATATATGATAATAAATCACTTTCATGAATTGATCGAGAAAAAAGGTTGCCTCTTCTCCTCTACTTTTTTTTTTTATTATTATACTTTAAGTTCTGAGATCCATGTACAGAAAGTGAAAGTTTGTTACATAGATATACATGCGCCATGGTGGTTTGCTGCACCCATCAACCTGTCATCTACATTAGCTATTTCTCCTAATGCTCTCCCTCCCCTACCCCCCAGCCGCCTGACAGGCCCCCATGTGGGTTCCCGGGCAACATGGCTGAATAGGATCAGCTCTAGTCTGCAGCTCCCAGTGAGATCAATGTAGAAGGTGGGTGATTTCTGCATCTTCTCCTCTACTTTATAGACCAAATATACTTCAGAATATTCAATAGAAAGTATGGATAAAAACATTCTGGAATAACAGAGTTGTGAGGAGGGGACAGTAGTATAGCACAGCTGTCTTAACAGATTGAATTTGGCAATGTTCCTCTGCATAGCTTGCCAGTAAGTGAATAAATGTGGCTAGCTTTAAATAGAGATTGTTAGAAGAGGCTAAGTTATCAAAACAGGACAGTTTAGTCTGTTCTGGAAGACCAAGCAGGAGACTATCATTGAAGTATGTAGTGATAACCTTAGGCAAGTTTAGATTTTTATTTAACCAGCAATCTACCTTGAGGGCTCACCCTCTGTTGTTTGTAGACCCTCAGCTGGTTTGCAAAATGCAAGGTCAAACAGTAAGTCATTATTGGACTTGAAATGATGATTTGGGTAGTTTCAAGGGCCTACTAGTCCAGTGTGCCACGAGAAGAAGTTTTCTCCTTCAGTGATGGCATAGCTATATGGGAGGCTAGGACAAGCACAAAGCAAACAGATACCTCTCTGGCTTGGGTCTTTCCTGTCCCTGTAACACAGTCACTGTAGGCTAGCACCCAGCCTCTCAAGTGGTCAAGACAGGGAAAGCAGAGGTCAGGGACTGCTTATGAGGTGACAGAACCTACAGACTTTGACTCCTGAGATAACCAGTTTCTTCTTGTTAGCTTTTTTTTTTTTTTTGCTTTTTTTTTTTTGACTCAGTTTCACTCTGTTGCCCAGGCTGGGGTGCAGTGGTATGATTTGGCTCACTGCAACCTCCACCTCCCGGGTTCAAGTGATTCTCCTGCCTCAGTCTCCTGAGTAGCTGGGATTACAGGTGCATGCCACCATGGCCAGCTAATTTTTGTATTTTTAGTAGAGACGGGGTTTCACCATGTTGGCCAGGCTGGTCTCAAACTCCTGACCTCAAGTCATCTCTCTGCTTCGGCCTCCCAAAGTGCTGAGATTACAGTCCTGAGCCAGTGTGCCTGTTTTTTGTTTTGTTTTGTTTTGTTTGTTTTGTTTCTCATATGGAGATGGGGAGGGTGTTGGGAAGAGAAGGGCTGACATTCAAAATGGCCTTTAGCCAGTTACGTACTTGTCATTCCAAGAAGGGTATGAACTTCCTTCTGTTTTGTTTTTTTAACTTTTGTGTTAAGTTCAAAGGTACATACATGTGCAGGTTTATTATATAGGTAAATTGCATGTGAATTTGCTTCTTCTGACACTGTTGTCAATGCCTTTCAGCCAAAGGTCACCAGGAACACACCTGTCACTCAAGAGTTGGGTTTATTCGACTTACTGCAGCAGGGAGAACATGCGCTATGGGGAACCGTGGAGTGTCTCAGTAAGAGAGGACTCCTTGCAGAATTTTGGCTTCTGTTAGGTGCTTTGGGGAAGGATTCTAGGAAGCAGGGTTGGCTCTGGACGGGATGCCATTAGAAAGCAGGGGTAACTCTACGTGTGCATCTTAGCAATTCTTACCTAGAAAACTAAAAAGAATGAAGCAAGTCTGTTTGGTAAGAAGCAGCAGTTATTCACATTAGCCAGGATGAACAGATGTTTTATCATTTTTTTTAAGGTTGGAAATGTGTATGTTGTATCTGTCATCAGACAAAATAGTTCAGTGGTCTTGTTTTGCGAAGAAACAAGACCATCAGTGAAACAGAGTGGTCTTATCTCACGTTGGAGTTGTGTGAAATTGTTTATATTCAACATGAGAATACCGTGGCGTAGCCACAAGTGCTAGTCCAACTCCTTGTACATCAAAGCCCAGTGAATAGCACTGGCCAGCTCCTGGCTGTCACCAGCTATTGTTCTCTTTTTCTACTAAGCCCATCCTTCAGGAAATATGAAAATTCTGAGATTAGTTGTTGCCATTAAAATATTGGCTGGTTTCATTCTTGAGCATAAAAGATATTTGGGAGTTAAAATTTCATATAATTTAAGGGACTAGGATTGTGGAGAAACAACGTATTTTTCTAATAGAACTTTAACTCAGACCAAGAATTCATTTTCTCAGGCACAATTTTCCATTTCCTAGGAAGAGGCGCAGGACACACATATAAAACTGTTAAAGCTCTTAACCAATTTTGTGAGTATGTCTCTGTATAGCTATATAGATCTATGTGTCAATGATTAATGCAGGCATTGATTACCATTGCAATTAGGTGAGAATAATCAGTTACCCTGTACAATGGTCTCAAGTTTGAACATTTCTTTACTTAATTGACCTGAGACACTCTTTAGTTTAAGGAGATTTCTCTAAAAGTCACAGTTACCACATTGTAGAGGTAAGATAAGTTAGAATATGGGCTCTAGAAAAAGAAATAGGGCACCAAAATTTGAGAGTTCTAGTGTCTGAACTTTACCATTAAAACATTGTATGACCATGGACAAGTCACCTCACATCTTTACCTCATATTCTTTCTTTTTAAACAAAAAGCTTGACATAGAGCGATGGTTTAAAAATCTTTCAGGCTTAGAATTATTTATTTGAACAAAAATTTCCGGAGAGTATAAATGGACAAACAGAAGAAACTTAAGTAAAAATCTGGCAGCAGCTGGGGCATTAAGGATTTGAATAAAGCTCATGTGGCCTCATTCTTGTCTTCTGGGCGACTGTCAAACATTGAGGAATTTTTGTACTCAAAACAGTTGACAACCTCTGATTTGAATAATTTCTCTAAGGTCTCCCATATCACAAGCATTCTGTGAATCCATGATTCTCTCTGGGAATAGAAACATGGACTAGACTTTGAGAGGAATAATTTAGAGAGGGTTAATTGTGTCTTATGATTTCTGCTTATATCAACTGGCCGATCATCTGTTTATGCTGAGGTTAAAACAATAACAATAACTAGTGCAGTTGATTTTCCTAGTTGCTTTTAGAAACATAACCCAGAAAACAGGTTCTAATTCTAAAGTCTTATAAGAGAATGAAAAAGATGGGGTTAGACAGTATTTAATCCAAATCACATTATTAGTATCTTTTTGGTGAAAACAATGTCACGTTTTGTGACTATTGGTTTCTCCTAGCTTCATGGCAACTTGATGCACATGAGAATATAGCCCCTGCAGTATGGCATGTCCTTTCATTAGATTTTTAAAAACAATTTATTTTTGAATAATTATAGAATTACAGAGGAGTTGCAAAGATAATATATCCTTCACACCATTTTGTTTCTTCTCCTAATGTTAATATCTTACATAGCCATGGTAAAGTTTATCAAAACTAGGAAATTAACAGTGATACGTGCTAATTACTAAATTACAGACTTTACTTGGCTTTCGTAATTTATCCACTAATGTCCTTATTTTGTTCCAGGGTCCAGTCCAGGATCCAACATTGCATTTAGTCGCATATCTCCTGAGGCTCCTCTAATCTGTGACAGTTCCTCTGGCTTTCCTTGTCTTTCATTACCTTGACATTTTTAAGAGTACTGGACAATATTTTGTAGAATATTACTTGATTTAGATTTGTCTGATATATTCTTATGATTAGGTTGAAGTTATGAATTCTTAGCATGGCTATCACTTCTCAGCACATTATATCAGGGATACATGATATGGATATATGTTATTACTGGTGATGTTACTCTTGATCACTTGGTTAAATGCCATCTACCAATTTTATTTATCAATCTTTTGGAGGTCCCATGGTTTTTGGGAAATCCAGAGTTATGTTTCCACCACCAAAATAATGTACAGAATTATTCGGTCACTCCCAAATTTTTCTCATACTGCTCCTTTGTCCCCTGGCTTTTCCTTCCACTCTCTCTAGCAACCATTGAGCTGTCAGTCATCCTTTTCCAGAATGTCACTTACAAAGACTCGTATAATATGTAGATGTTTTGTCTGACTTATTTCACTTAAAAAGGCATTTTAGATTCATCTGTGTTATTGTATGAATCAGTTGTTTGTTCATTTTTTATTGTTCCATTTTTATTTATTAACAAATACAAGTAATAAATATAGATTTTGTCTTATAACTTTGAAGTAGAAGTCAGATGGAAGTGAAAACAAATGGAAAGAGTGGTTGGTATATATTGTCATGTACATATCTTTCCTTACGGCTATTGTTTGACATTTTTAATAATGCAAAAATTATTCTTGGAATAACTATCAACTGAGGACAGGCTGAACTTAATTTTATGGAGAATTTAAAATGTACCATATGCATTATCAAATAGAGTCTTTGTTGTACTTTTCTTATAGAAAGAAAGATGCTCAGTAATGTCTGTTAATAATTACCATATGCCAGCAAAAACTCTTGACTAAATGTAAAGTGTATATCTTGCCATTGCCTAAGGGAGGGGAGGCGTCAAACTCGGTATACCACCTACAGTCTCCTTGTTTAATTCATCAGAGTTGTTTAATTCACCAGAGTTCCCACTTCCTAGTTATTGAGCCTCATATAAGTGATGTTATTCCTATGAAGCAGTCTAAGAAAATGACCCATATTAATGTACAAAAGATGCAGCAGAGCTGAATATACCTTGCAATCAAATAGAGTTTAGGGGTTGGGCACAGTGGCGCACGCCTATAATCCCAGCACTTTGGGAGGATGAGGCAGGTGGATTGCCTAAGTCCAAGAGTTCAAGACCAACTTGGACAACATGGCAAAATCCCATCTCTACAAAAAATACAAAAATTAGCCAGGCATGGTGGGGCATGTCTGTAGTCCCAGCTACTCAGGCAGCTGAGGTGGGAGGATCACTTGAGTGCCGGATGCGGAGGTTGCTGTGAGCTGAGATGGCATCACTGTACTCCAGCCTGGGTGACAGAGGGAGACCCTGTCTCAAATAAATAAATAAATATGAGCTGAGATTGCATCACTTCACTCCAGCGTGGGTGACAGAGGGAGACCCTGTCTCGAATAAATAAATAAGTAAATGAATAAACTAAAATAGAATTTAGTAAATAATCAATGTTAAAATGAAATGATCATCTAAGCATAGAGTGAAATTGGAGAAAGCTTATGTTTTGTAAATACTATTTTTCTAAAAAGTCTTAGTAATTCTGTTTTTTTGTTACTTTTACTACTGATAATCTTAGGGGGCTGACAACACTTTCTTATAAGGTATAAGCTATGAAATATCTTATCAATAACCCCTGTATTAGTGTTCTATGATAATATGTGTTAACTTGATAGACGAGGGGCCATTACAGTCTATCACTGCAGTGATCCATACATTGAAGACTCCCTAAGTACATGTTGACACAATACTGCAGCAGTGATCCATGAATTAAATATGCTTCGGATCCGAGTCATTAAAAGTTTAATGGGAAAAATGTACCAATTCCACTGAAAAATACCAGTTTTGACTCTGTGATCAATTCTTCCATAAACACATTTTCAATGTCTCCCAGTAATGAATATTCTTTCTGAACCAACCCTGCTTATTGTTATATGACTTCCTCAACATTCAAAATCCCATTTTGTATTGACTATTTGAAACTCCTTGAGTGTCACAGCAGAGGTCTATAGAATAATTGCAAAATAGCATTCACACAAATGTAATTCTTTTGTGAATAATGGAAAGCACTGTTTTATCCTTTTTAAGGGCTGAGCATAAAAACTACTCAATAGACTTAAAATGAAAGAAAATTAAAATTTTATTTGGGTCATTATTCAGTCCATCCTTCATTATAAATACATTCATGAAGTTATCGTCATGGCAGAGAGAGCATGAGAAATGTGACAATGTTCCCTTGTACTTAGCATTTACTCTTTTTATTCCATCTCTTTTATTCTACATATATTAAATTTTTCTTAGTATATATTATGCAAGATCGTAATATAGTTTCCCAAATATTTACAATAGGGTTGTTTATGTATTAGACTGAAACATTCTTTACTCCACTGGACACATACTAGATCTTGCTTCTGAAGAGAAAGGATGTTAATTACAAGGACAGGAAACTGATGAAAAATAAAAAGAATGAAAGTTTAAGAAGGCTTAAAGGAATATTCTAAAAATAATTAAGGAAGATATTACTCTGAAACGGGATGTAAGTTGAGAGAATAGGTAGAAGAACAGGAGAGAGTAGAAGAGATTTAGACAAGACAAAAATGTTCTCAATGGTCTCACTTTAATCAGAAAACCAAGGATTGAGTTATTTTGCCATTACATGAATGTAGAAGTGGAGACCTGAAGAAAGAAGAAAATAAAAGCAAGTTAGATGGAGCTCCTCCTATTGTTAGGAGCTTTATAGTCTCTTCACACCAGAATGTCTCTTCTCCAGTGTTTCCCCAAGGCAGCTTGTCACCTAGTACTATCCCTCAGCTCTTTTTCATGCTGTAACTCTCTAATCCTTGAGTTCTTGAAAACAAAATAAAAAACAAACAAATGCTTTCTCCTACTTTTAATACTTAAAGTAATGATCATTGTATTTTTCCATTTGCCTTTGTATCTCTTTTTTTTTTTGACCTTGTAGCTTTTTCTGTCGCTTTTGGTCCTTCCTTTATCTTCACTTGGTCAGAAACATAATATTCAGAACATTCTGTGAGTGTTTGTTCAGGTGTGTGATGTGCCAGAGAACCGACTACACCTATATCAATTTGTGGATGCCACGGATGATTCTACTGTTGTAGCTGATGGGGCTGGTCTGCCTTGCTTCCCTCAGTGCTAAGCAGCATACAAAGCTGTAGTAGGAATCAAAACTGGAATGTGCATGTGTGATGGGTAGGACTAAGAGCAGATTCAGAGAGCAAAGGCATTGATACTGCTGGGTCCATGAGCTCAGAGATGTGCGTGCTGCTCTTAGCAGGGGCGTTACACTCCCACAGGTAAGGGTGAGAGACAAGGAGCCAGAAGCCTGGAACAAGGAAGGGAAAGAAGAGTGACAAGGCTAGTAAGAAGTGAAATAAATGCATTGAATCAATGAAAACCATCCCTTAACTACAGTTTTCCAGTGACTGTGCCATGTGCTTTTACATACATTATCACATTCATTTCTCACAACCTTGTGAGGTTTACATGAGTGTCTTGGGTATGAAATTGTCAATTTAGGTAGCTTTAGCAACTGAAGCTTCAAAATTCAGTGGTTACCTGAGACTAACTGTGAGCAGTGATGATTGAGAATGGGCCCAGGAAATTCTCAGCAATGATTAGAATAGGAGATATTCACTAGGGAAGAGGACAGGACAGATACAGAGAAATGTGGACTATACCACATGTGTTAAATACTGTACTATCATTAAATTATGTGCTTTAAATATTAAAATATAGCTTAAAAAAGACCAAGCTACCTCCTCCTATTGGTCTAAATACATAGTGAAACTAATATTGCTTTGTTTACCTAGATTGACTGCTGCTACTACTACTACTATTACTACTACTACTATCCAAGATGGCCTTAGGTTCCCCACAGCATGCCTAAACTTTGGACAGATTTCTTTCTGATTATAGGCCCCCACCTCCCTTTCCTTAGAACATTTACTTTAGAAAACTAATAATTGCAAATTCTTTGTCTGTCCCTTTGAGATATAAATCTTCTTCTAGCCTCTCGCCAATTGTCCAACCCAGGAATATCTTTTTCAAGGACCTGGGAGCCATCCCTTTGAAATGTCATCAATAATAGTGCCCTTCTCTCCCAGTCCTTGTGGGAGGGTAGGAGCCTAATTTTGATAAGTGCTAACTAGCAAATATATATGGCCTAATCACATTGACCAATCTACCCCGCTAAAGTTCTTCAGTAGTTTTCCACTGGCTCATCTCAGTACTTAAAATCCCTTCTGCCTTTTGATCAAGTTTGAGTTCAGTTTCTCTCCCTATTGCTGTAGTCTCAACTCCTATTGCAATAAACTTGCATAAAATCTTCCTTGTCTTTTTAACTTCATCGGGTATAATTTTGTTTTGACATTACTAACCATGGGTGAGTGTCCATTTGAAAAGCTAAGTATGCAGCATTCTTTATCAAAATATAAACTTCAGCAAAATAATTGGCCATTGATCTGTAATAATTTGAATGTAATACTCTCTAGAGATATAAGGATGGTTCAGATGACCCTTGAGGTCACTAAATATTGATGTTTGAAATTTAACCTCACATGTGGTAAAAGAAATACCATTTACTGTGGAAATAAGCACTGTTTTAGATAATTGTAAAATATATTTCAGGAAAAAAATGTGGGTAAATACCATCAGGTAAAGTTTAATACTGCACGCGTGCACACACACACACATGCACACACACACACACACACACACACACACACACACACACACGCACACCCCTTGATTTCCTCCTAAAGGAATTTTATATATGTTATAGGAATATAATACAATCGGGAAATACAGCTAAAGAAATAAATTGGTAACAAAATAAAAATAAGAATGCAAAAATACAATAGATCTGGTAGTTTATGGAAACCATACCACAGAGCCTACGGTATTACTAAACGGGCATCCCAACTTGGCCCTGAGTTTTCAAGTAACAAACCCAGAAAGAGAATAATGATCAGTTGTAAGATCTCCAGTATCTAGAACAAGAGAAAAGCAAACAAATAGGATAATTTGCTTTAGAGTAACCCAGAATATTTAAATCTGGAAGAAATTTAAACTAACTAATGTGGTTAGCATTAAACCATACTATCAGGTGAAGTTGAATAGCACACATACACACACATACACCCATATATACAAGGTGTAGTATAGTAGGCAAGCTATAAACTACAATCTAAACTAAATGCAGACATATATTTTGTAAGATTACTTCCTTATGTCTCAATATAAAGTTGATGGAAAAATTCCAAATTTCATTTTTGTAAAAACAATCATATAAAGGACATCTAGTTCCTAGCACATGGTTCTCTGAGAGTCTTGTCTAATCTGAAATTTAGCCTACCTAGAAAAGTAAATTAAATATAAATCTTTAAGGATAAGAATTTCAACAAGCTGAAGTTTTGATGACAATTGGGCTGTAAAGAGAGTAAGGTCATATTCTTGGGCAAATTTCCATGAGTTCTACATTTAAGACAATTATATATGAATCAAGATGAACAGAAACTGTATCTTAAATCATTACGACAACAAAGAAAAACTACTCGCTGTATCATAATGATTATACATGTTATTTTCAAAAACTTAGAAAATAAAACACAAAATAAAAATCATCCATGATTCCATCTCTAATGGAAGAACTGAAAATATAGAGATTAAAAGTATTGCTGATATTTTGGGTACGTGCTTAAAATATAAAATGCTCACACTGTTTTGAGAGACAGGACAGCATAGTTCTGAAGGGTTAGACTCCAAGAGTTAAAATGTTAAATTACTTTACCCCTTGTATGATCTTGGGTAAATTATCTCAACTTTTAAATCTACTTTTGTTCGTTTGTATTTGTATTGCTATTCACCTCCAAATTCACTCTTCAACATATGCTTTGTGATTATGGGCTTCCTGTAAGCATTTTTCCTTTAAAGTGAGCACATTGTTAAGCTTTCTCATTAAAGGGTACTGTGGGAGCACCGTAGGAACAAGAGGGTCTCCTGCAGGTGCTGATGGCTGAAATGTGGGTAGGGTGGTGTGGCTGGGATGACATCCAGTGGAGCTCTGCCACAACCACAGGCCCAGAGTGCATGGATCCACAGACACCTTGAAGTCTCAGTCTGGACTGATGATAACCTTTCCATGACCCTAAATAGAGAAACCAGTGCTCTAAAGACCTTCTGCTGGCACAGCTGCCCTGATTCCTTCTGCAGGTACCAGAGTGGTCCCTGAGGCCCAGAGGATCCCTTCTGGATGCTGATCCCTCTGCCAGACCAACATGTCTGGCCTGGGGCCTGGAAAATCCCCACCTCCTCTGCTTGCCCTGGTTACTGATGGCCTGTTCCCCACTTGCACTCTGGAAGGCTACATTGTACTGACCCAGTTGTGCAGATCAGCTTTAGTATGGAAAAAACAACTTTCCACTCTTTAGCAGGCTAAATTATAACTCCTCTAGCAAGATCTGAACCCCAGCTGTATTAGTCAGGGTTCTCTAGAGGGACAGAACTAATAGGATAAATGTATATAAAAAGGGGAGTTGATTAAGGAGTGAGTATTAACTCACACGATCACAAGGTCCCACAATAGGCCATCTGCAAGCTGAGGAGCAAGGAAACCAGTCCGAGTCTCAAAGCTGAAGAACTTGGAGTCCAGTGTTTGAGGGCAGGAAGCATCCAGCATGGGATAGATATGTAGGCTGGGAGGCTAAGCCAGTCTGATCTCTCCATGTTCTTCTGCCTGCTTTTATTCTGGGCGTGCTGGCAGCTGATTAGATTGTGCCCACCCAGATTAAGGGTGGGTCTGCCTTTCCCAGTGCACTGACTCAACTCTTAATCTCCTTTGGCAACACCTTCACTGACACATCCAGGATCAATACTTTGCATCCTTCCATCCAGTCAAGGTGACACTCAGTATGAACCATCACACCAGCCTTGGGAAGGAAGCCCCCTACCAAATTTGTCTTTCCTGTGGTACTTACTTTCCATCTTGGGGTACCATAGAGAGTTTTCTCAAATGTTGTAGTTATTCTTTTATCATAGTTTTATTATTCTTTATATTAAACTTCTGTAGTCTAACCCAATGTGTGGTGTCTATCTCCTGTTTGAATCTACACTAATACAGTCATTAGATGGTACAAATTAAAATCAGAGAGATACGACTACATATATATGCACTTGAATGTCTAAAGTTTTATGTATATGTGTATATAAAATCTCTCCATATATATGTACATATATATACATACTTGTACATATATGTATGTCCATATATATGTATATATATAGAGAGAAAGACAGAGAGAGAGGGAGAGCTGGATAATGTTAGTGAGGGTGTAGGGCACCTGGAAATCTGATTCATTGTTGTTGGGAGTATACAATATTTTCTTATAAAACTAAATATACACTTATTCTATGATTCATTGGTTTCATTCCAAGAGAAATCAAAAGATATATGCACAGAAAGGCTTATATAGGAATGTTATTTGGAACTGTATTCATAAAAATCCAAAGCTGAAAATGTTTATTAATACATTAATGAATAAACAGATTATGGTGTATTCATATGATGCGGTAGTATTTAGTGATAAAAATGAAAAAAAAAACGTGCAACAACATGGATGAATCTTAAAAAATACTGTGTGAAAGAAGCTTTAAGTAAAATGTTCATACTATATAATTACATTTTTATGATGTTATAGAGCAGGTAAACTAATCTTTGGTGGAAACAAATTTCAGAGTGGTTGTCTCTTGGAGGTCTAGGGGTAGGAACTAAGTGGGATGGGGCATGAGGAAACTTTCTTGGGTGAGGTAGTATTCAACCTCTTGATATGTTACATTAAGTACTAAGAGTGAATATTTTAAAAATGGGGGTTTAGGTTATACAGGTTATGCATGTGTCAAAATTAATTTAATGGCACAGTATAGCAGGTACATTTAACCTAAAAAATGTAAACTAATTATATAAAAGTGTTTAGGTAGGAAGCATACTGATGTCTGAAACTTATTTGGAAATTCATTAAAATATAGGTAAATTGATGCCTGTATAGAGGGATATAGGTGAATAGATCTATAATAAGACAAAAAAGGAAAAGTATTTATTTTGGATTCTTTACTGGTTGGGATACAGAAGTTTACTGAATCTTTTTTAAAGTTTACTGTGTTGTTTTTTTTTTTTTAATTTATGAAAGACTACTTGGAAGAAAAACTGCAGATCAAAACCAACTTAGTTTTTTTTTTAATCACTTAAAACCATTTAGACTATTCCCTGGTTTGCTATGATATTGAAGTTTCAGTTTTGTATGAATGTTGAGCGTCTGTTTTTAGCTCCTGCAGCCTCACTCATAATGCGGGTAGTTTTCCAGTGCTAAAGACTGAGGGAAACTGTCTGGCTTGAATTTCTATTATAGTGCTTGTCTTTTCTTGCATCTTATTATTGTCTATGTGCTGGCCTAGAGGGTCTTTGATGTGATGAAGGTGGTTGTGCTTTTTTGACGTTATGTATTTGTATCCTATAACCCTTAAGGACTTCACCTGACTTGAAACCATACCACACGGAACTAATGTATAGGTAGTTTTTACTGATTGGCTTTTCATTTCATACATGTGCATAATGATTTCTCAATGGTAGGATCCATCTTCTATTTATTTTGCATTCTCCACCCAAAGAACATTGTACAGTGCCATACACACAGGGGATACTTAAATGAAAATAATGTATATTATTTTGGTGTTTAAAACCTTTTGAACCATTTAGGTAAGGCTTAGAATTTAGCATTTGGCTCACTAGAACAAGGATTATATAGTTTCAGTCAACTACACAATCTTTAATTTTAAAAAATCTATATTGTAGAATGTTCCAAATATTTTTCACATAAGGTATTGATTTCATTTTATAGAGGAAAAAAAGTATCAACAGCAACTTAAGCCCACTGGATGGATTTAAGGTTCTCCTACATTCCCAACACGTCTATCATAAAGACGCCAATGAAAGGTTATAACCCAGATGGAAACAAGACTCCAAATGCCAGTAAACCAAAGACAACTTGAGATCAGGTGAGATTATGGGTCTTAATTAATCATGGGAAAAAGAAAAGCATATTCAGGTTTGTAGCCCCAAAGTAATGAAATTCCCTTTAAAACTATGTCTACTTTTAAAATTTTTAGGGGAAATGCTTAAAATAAAAAATGGCAGACATTATTATATAGAAATATAAGTTCTGAATCAACCTAAGACATACTTTCTACCTTCTATATAAACTATTCAGAACCAAATCTCTTATAAAAGGGATACCTTTTTATCAATAAATAAAAATGACAATTAAATATTATACATTTCTTTGGAAATCCATAGGCCATGGAGTTATTAGCTCAACTGTCACTGGAAGACCCTAAAAACATGCCTAAAGTACAAATCAAAAATACACCAGGACACTTACCAAGAGCTGCCATGTTATTATTGCAAGCAACAAGAACTTAGAAGGCCAAGATTAGCTATCTTCAGGAAGGTTTTCCAGAAGTAATCAGTTCTGTCCTCAGAGTTGTAGACATTATTGTTGCGATTTAGGAGGCTGGCTATAAGGCAACAGGAAATGATCAATGGAGAAGGTAATTGTTGAAAATGCTATAACGTGTCATGTGATGAAAATATGTTGAAAATTAATTCAAGAAATCTAGAAAATGGTGGTGGGAGCAGCTGGGAGAAATAAAAACTTCTCAATAGTTAATATTTTCCTAAATATATTTTCTAAGAGAGATAGCAGTCTATCTCTAGAAACTCAAAGGCACCCATATGTTTTTTACTCAGCTTGAATGCAATAAAACATTCATTGAGACTATAAACATACTGACCAGAAAAAATTAAAATTACTAATTTGATTTCTCAGATACCATAATACTGGTGGGGAGGTAACCTTGGTAGGAAATATAAACATTAAGGTCCACTTCTATGTTTTACTGCTAGTTTTAAATTAATCAAATTTTTAGCCCTAAACAGCATAAATGTGTACATTTTATGTCTATAACCTAAAATTTAGATGACCCTTGGATCAAAGCATACACATTTTCAGAGTTGTAGGATATTGCAACTGAGTTATATCTGGCATTTACACAATTATCCAATGTTTGTTATTTCTGAGCTTCTCAAACACATCAGTAACACAAGTATCTGTTTGTTATGTTTTTCAGCATCATATTTATTTCAATTCCAAGTCATTCAACAGAACATATGTCTGCACCTAAAACCTTTTATGAGTGTGTATAAAAATACACCATTATAGACCAATGTAACTTTAATTTTCTTGCCAAATAAATGTATCCTTACCAAATATTTCAAATATTTTCCATCATTGCAGAAACTCTGCAGTAAAATTTTTGTTAATGAGCATAACCGTAACTTTTAATTAAAAATACTAGTCAGTTGAGAGAGCATAATGGGGCATTCTTACCCCAAAGCCTTCTCCTGTAAAATATAACGGACAATAGAGTTTGTTAGTTTTCTGCTTTTATAAATTGTAGTAGTCTTGTGTGGCAATGGGAAGATGATGCTATCTGCTATCTATTAATATTTACACATCTGCTTATTTACTTTTAACACATCAATCATAAGCCAGGGGCTAGAGTTAAGTAGATTTTTATTTTCAGACTCTTGCTTGATCCATGACCTGTCTGCTGGTTAAGAGGCTGTAATGAAGGCTATTTAGCCCACATTGCTTCTGGAAATAGGTTTAGCACTCCATAAATCCTATGTTTTACTTTATTTACACCATTCACACATGCAACCTTTATCCTGTTCATCTACTTGGAGTCTAATTTAATTTACTGATGAATGTGCATTACTCACTCAACCATAAAGTGGACTTGATTCAACTATAACTATTGTAAGCTAATTGTTCTCTGTTGGATTTAAAGCTGATAATGATGTACAGTGACAGGTTTAACAAATTTTCAATTACCACATTCAATTACTTTGGGTGCATCCCACATATCAGTGAGCCAAACACTTAATTCATTTAAAGTTTTAATAAGGAATATGGGATGAGATGATTAATTAGGGAGACTCCCAGGACAGGTCTTGCACTTTTGATGTTATTAAACAACTCCCTCTATTTTGCTTTACATGTTGATTTTAGAATCTAGCCTGTCTTGTAGAAAATGTAATGCTTACTTGCCACATGTTCCTATCTGGAAAACAGATTATCCAGCATGCTGAGATTGCATTAATATATATGTCAGTAAATTAATATTTGTGGCTTAAGAATTATTAAATGTTATTTTGAAAGATCAGTGATAGTATGAAGGTCAGTTATTTATCGTATAACTGATTCATTTCTAAGTCTATATTTATTGATTATATCCATTACAAAGAACAAGGATCTAAAGAGGTTAATACGAAAATTGACTTATACTGTTTTACTCTTTGAGTTAGTGGAAGAGTTAGTAAAAGATAATTTTAAGGTATGCCCATAGATAAAGACAAGTTCATTTTGTTCCTATAAATGTAATTAAATATTTTGTGAATTTTTACACTTAAGATGGCAATTTGAGGCACTCTCGTTGTTTTTTGTTTGTTTGTTTGAAACAGTCTTGCTCTGTTGCCCAGGCTGGAGTGCAGTGGCGCAATCTTGGCTCCCTGCAACCTCTGCCTCCTAGGTTCAAGCGATTCTCCTGCCTCAGCCTCACCAGTAGCTGGGATCACAGGTGTGTGCAACCACGCCTGGATAGTTTTTGTATTTTTAGTATAGACGGGGTTTCACCATGTTAGCCAGGCTGATCTCAAACTCCTGACTTCAGGTGATCTGCCCGCCTCGGCCTCCCAAAGTGCTGAGATTACAGGCATGAGCCACCGTGCCCAGCCAGAACTCTGTAATATAATAACACATATTTTGACCAATAGAGGCTGCAGGCAATAGTGAAAAAAATAATTAGAGGCTGGAGTCCTGGAAATTTAGTCTTTCTCCTGTGGTTTTCTTAATGTGAACTTTATGCTACTCATATAACTTCTTTATGGTTTAATGTAACTCACTAGAAAAAGTGATAATAAGAGGCTAAAATTCATTCAGTTAGGATATACTATGCACTAGCCATTATTTAAATATTAGCTCATTTGATTATTTTGACAACCCTTATGGGGATAATTATCTTCATCATGGAGATAAAGAAACTCAGGATCAGGCTTTTTGAATACTCTGCTCAATACCACAAGTCCTCTATGTGACAAAGGTAGAATTCAAACTCAGATTTATTGAATTATTCAGCTTAGGATTTCCTCACTGTTACACCTTACAGCTCTATACTTCCTAAGTGTCCTGAGAGGGCAATTAACCTAATAGAGGTGTTGTAGTGGGAACTGGTTGAAAGGAAGAACAGATGGGAGCAATAATTGGCTTTCTTTCACTCTTCCTTATTTCCTGCATTTTTGTTTGCTCCTCTGAAGGAGTAGTTCTGAAGGAACTACTTTTTACTAACATAGAATGGTTTTTGCTAAATTTCCGTTAGTAATTATAGTAGTATTCTATTGCTGCTGTAACAAATTGCCACAAGATTAATGCCTAAAACAACCTACATTTAGTATCCTACAGTTTTGTAGGTTAGAAGTCTGATACAGGTCCTGTTTGGATAAAATAGAAGTGTCAGCAGGGTGGAGTTTTTCTCTGGAGCATCTAGAAGAACCTGTTTGGTTGCTTCTTCCAACTCCTAGAGGCTGCACACACTCCTTGGCTGATGGCCCCTTCCTCCAAATTCAAAGCCAGCAATGTCACATCCCTCCAAGTCTGCTTTCATCATCACATCTCTTTCTCTTACCACAGCCAGGGAAAGACTGTTTTTAAAGACTCATGTGATTAAGTTGATTGATAGCCACAATATAATCTGTGTGCCACCCACAGGATAATATCTCCATCTGAAAGTCCTTGACCCTAATTACATCTGCAAAATCCAATTTGCCATATAAGATAACATAGTCAGAGGTGTAAGCGATTAGTGTGTGGACATCTTTCAAGGAAGGATATTATTCGGCCAACCACAGTGATAAAGATGCATCAATAATTTCATCAGTATGAAGCTTCACAAAATAGGGCCAGACAGGGTGGCTGATGTCTGTAATTCCAGCACTTTGGGAGGCCGAGGTGGGTGGATCACCCGAGATCAGGAGTTCCAGACCAGTGTGGCCAACATGGTGAAATCCCATCTCTACTAAAAATACAAAAATTAGCCAGGCATGGTGGTGCATGCCTGTAATCCCAGCTACTTGGGAAGCTTGAGGCAGGAGAATCACTTGAACACGGGAGGCTGAGGTTGCAGTGAGCTGAAATTGTGCCACTGCACTCCAACCTGGGCTACATGAACAAAACTCTATCTCAAAAAAAAAAAAAAAAAAAGTTTTACAAAATAAAGAGGATACTAGATTTTGAGAAGGATTTTTTTTTCTCTTCTGATGATTTCCTAGTGTTTTTTATGCTACCCTCACCTCTTCCTGGCAAATATTGGGAAGAGTAATTATGACAATCCAAACCTGTTTACAATAGTGACCAACAGAATGATCTCTCATTTTTTTTTCCCTGGACAAGTTTCCTTAAGGAAACAAAGTCTAAGAGAAGAACCAGTGAAATAATATGCAATTAGAGTATTTAATTCAATGTACTGATCATGACTAAATCAATGGCATCAATTATAAGCACACTCAGTATCTGGAATCTCATCGGCATGTACACTTAATTAAGCTCTTTTATATTATACCATAAATCTTATTTTTGATCTCATATTTAAATGGTCTCACTTTTAATCTGATTCAGAAAGCCCCTGAAGACTTCTGAGTTTTTCCTCCAATAAGAGCCTGGTTTAACCAGGTTCTATCATTAAGGGTTAGTCAATTTGCCTGAGAGTTTCCCTCATTATAAATCACTGCCATGAAATGAAGAACCTACTACCAAGTTTACTAGGAGAGGTGAATGTGCAGCTCACTCTTAAAACTTTAGTTCTATTTGGTCAGATTCCATTTCATTTTGTAGAAGCAAAAATGTAAATTATTTTGTAGCTCTCCTGCCTCTTTCTCCTTATTTGCTCTGTTTTTCCTCAAGGACTTTTTAACCTGCATATACTTTCCTAAATTTCTTAACTTGACTCATTTAACTCCTATAATTTGATTCTCTTCATTCAGTTGAACAGATCTCATCCAATCAATTCTACTATACACCTATTCCTGAAGGAGTTTCTGAAATAATTGTTGTTTTTCTTGCCCTAAATTTTTTTTTGCCTACAATGAACTAATTGCCATACATATTATGGACTTATCAGAAATCGAAAGACTCCATTATGCAATAGTTTTGATAATTGTTTTTGAAAATTATCATCATGCCAAGCGTCAGGTTCCAGTCCAAGCTAAGGTCTGAGGGGAGTGAGTGGGTGAGTGGTGAGTAACTGTAAAAACACTTGAGGAATCGTAGGCAGTTTTGACATGGCTTATTCTCTCTCTGGGTGCAAGCCTGGGTGTGAGCCATAGGTACAGTGGCAGCAGGGTAATTATACCTTTTGCAGACAATAGTGGCTCTGAGCCGAGTATGAGCTTGCGTGAGTGGTTTCCTAATGTGCCTTACATGGAGTGATTACATAATATGTGGGGGTGGTGTGCCTGCGCTCCAAACCCACTGAGTCACACTTCACCAAAAGGCCACCTCAGTCTACTCCTGACTAAAGCGCAGCCATTTCCGTTACAAGTATATTCTGTCAAAATATTACTATAGTTTGCTCCCTTACTATACCTTAATCAAGCCATAAATTAACCATTATGTCATTTCTTTAATTTTGATTAAGGTAATCTTGTTAATCATGGAAAGGCTTTTTGTTTCTTTCAAAATCAAAGCTACCCATTACAAACATTCTTTCGCATTTTTTTCTTTTGTTTTGCAAATAGTGTATTTTTTGCAAGCAGTTTGTGTGTGTATGTATACATGAAAAATCTTATCATTTTGTAGGTAATAATCTCCCTTGGCAATCTAGGTGTGTTAATCATCATCTAGGAGTGCTAGTGATCATTATTTTTCTTAAATTTCTTCATAACTTTTCAGTTACAGTTTTCAGAGATGCTTCTGCAGCTTAGCTTATAACTATACCAGAAGCAATGTCTTTTAGGCCTGTATTTGGATATTTTATAACTTTGTGGTATTTGTATTTTCACTGCTGCTATTATTTTTCACCATGATGTAAACACCTGGAAAAAGCAACCTTGAATAAATTGTTTAGATGATGTGCTAAATCCTCAAGAAATTAAAATACTGTTTTCTCAATGGTATACTCAATGAGAGTTTAAAATGCAGGTGCTTGAAGAAATGTTAAGGTACAACTAATCATAATCTCAGACATTTATTTTATGTCATTTCATTTTGAGACAGGATCCTCACTCTGTCACCCAGGCTGGAGTACAGTGGTGTCATCTCAGCTCACTGCAGCCTCAACCTCCCAGGCTCAAATGACTCTTCCACTTCAGCCTCCTAAGTAGTTGGGAGTACAGGTGCACCTCACCACGCTCAGCTAACTTTGGTATTTTTTGAAGAGATGGGGTTTTGTCATGTTGCCCAACCTGGTCTTGAACTCCTGGGCTCAAGTGACCCACCTGCTTCTGCTTCCCACAGTGGTGGGATTACAAACACGGGCCACCTCACCTGGCTCAGACTCATTTTAAATAAACACTCCAGTTAATATTTAGTAATAATTATAAAATTATAATAAAATTATAGCTTTGGTAGACAGAATTCTAAGATGAGCCTCACAATTCATACTCCCTGATAGGAATCCCCTTCCATTGAGTGCAGGGGAGAACTCTGACTATAATGGAATATCACCATGATTAAGTTACCTTGAATGGCAAAGGTGAAGACATTTAGCAGATGTAAGTAAGGTCCCTAATCAGCTAGTTTAAATTGATCAAAAGATCCTGTGAGTATCTGACACAATGAGGTGAGCTCTTTTAAAAAATAATTTGGCTGGGCGCGGTGGCTGATGCCTGTAATCCCAGCACTTTGGGAGGCTGAGGTGGGTGGATCACGAGGTCAGGAGATCAAGACCATCCTGGCTAACATGATGAAGCCCCGTCTCTACTAAAAATACAAAAAATACAAAAAAATTAGCTGGGCATGGTGGCACATACCTGCAATCCCATCCAACTGGGAGGCTGAGGCAGGAGAATCGCTTGAACCTGAGAGGCAGAGGTTGCAGTGAGCAGAGATCGCACCACTGCACTCCAGCCTGGGTGACAGAACGAGACTCTGTCTCAAAAATAACAATAATAAACAATTTAGGGCCGGGCGTGGTGGCTCACACCTGTAATCTTAGTACTTTGGGAGGCCGAGGTGGGCAGATCACCTGAGGTCAGGAGTTCATGACCAGCCTGGCCAAGATGGCAAAACCCTGTCTCTACTAAAAATACAAAAATTGGCTGGGCATGGTGGCGGGCGTGTAATCCCAGCTACTTGGGAGGCTAAGGCAGGAGAATCACTTGAACCCTGGAGGCAGATGTTGCAATGAGCAGAGATCACACCACTGCACTCCAGCCTGGGTGACAAAGCTCCCCACCAAAAAAAAATAAAAGATAAAAACAATTTAGAAGTCAGAGATGGAAGAAGGTAGGTAGAAGAAAGCAGCGGTAGATGCACTCTTGCTGGCTTTGAAGAACAAACCTCCATGCCACAGAAGAGCCATTTGGCAGAGAATGGGGTAACACCTCCAGTTGCTAGGGACCTCGGTCTCCCAAGTGCAAGGGACTGAATTCTGCCAACAACTGGTAAACCAGGAAGAAACCCTGAGCCCCAGATGAGATTGCAGCCCCAGCTAATACCGTAATTTCCTCTGGGAAGACCCTGAGCAAAGGACCCAGCAATCCCAAGCCCAGGGTACTGACACATGGAACCTGTGGGATAATAACACTGTGTTGTTTTCAGCCACTAAATTTGTGGTGATTTGTTACATGCCAAGAGAAAACTAATACTTTAGCTAATATTTATTTAGCTCTTTCTAAATGCCATGCTCTGTGCTATGAGTGTTACACAGATAATTTTATTTAATACTCAAGCCACTCTATGAAGCAGGTTCTATTATTTTAAAAATTTTACAGGTGAGAAAATTAAGCCTTAGTGAGGTTAAAACACCTGATTGCAGGTCACAGAGCTGATTGATGAAGGAATTAGGATTTGAACTTGTGCTTTAATCACTTCACTAGACTATGTTCTTAATGCAAAACATTCCACCGAATAATGTAAGTCAATTTTGTTCTGATTGCCACCTGTTCAGATACTGTCTTTTTCTTGTGCATATCCAGGAAATGTGACAAAATACTAAAGAATAAACAGCCTTTGATGAAATCTATTTTTTCTAGTTGATTTCTCAAAAAGACCTTTATATGAATACTTCACCATTTATAGAAGAAAGTCTTCAGAAAAGAAATCCTTTTAAAAAAGTTATTTAATTGCTATTTTACCTAGAAGAACAATCTATTTCCATCTATCAGGTAGTAATGAAGTCATTATCTTGCACTCTTCTTTAATTAGCATCAATCCTGATTAGTCAGAATAAATTAGGCTCTTTGTCTTTTTCCATAGTTGTGATTCTTCTGGTACAGGAGCCATTCAATTATGTGTTATCACTTACAAAAGATGTCAGTATAATTAGCGTATTTCAAATTTTACTTTTAAGAATATTTCAATGTTAAAATACAAGGTTGTTTTGTTTATCCCCCTTAAAATGTGGGAAATAATCAAGTAACATTCTCTAGAATAATTTTTATATTAAAAATAAAATGCACAAGGTTAAATAAATCTTGGGGATTTTATTAGCCATTCCTCATCCTAATATTTAATGAAACCATTATGTAATGAACATAATGGTAAAAATATCTGAGGTACAATTAACTGTTACTACAAATTGAGGTGAGGAGTTCCACAGAAGGACACATAATTATTCTAAGTAGAATATAGAAGAGAATTTTGAAAATTCAAATTGACAGATTGGCATACTTATATGAAAACCAATCACCATCTTTTTTTTTTTTTTTTTTTTTTTTTTTTTTTTTTTTTTTGAGACAGAGTCTCGCTCTGTCACCCAGGCTGGAGTGCAGTGGCAAGATCTTGGCTCACTCCAACCTCTACCTCCCGGGTTCAGGCAATTTTCCCGCCTCAGCCCCCCAAGTAACTGAGATTACTTATATGCACCACCATGCCCAGCTAATTTTTGTATTTTTATAATAGTAGAGATGGGGTTTCACCATGTTGGCCAGGCTGGTCTTGAATTCCTGACCTCAAGTGATCCACCTGCTTTGGCCTCCCGAAGTGCTGGGATTACAGGTGTAAGCCACTGCGGCCGGCCCTAATCACCATCATTAAAACATTACTTTCCATTATTTTGTAGAGTTGTATACATGCATTGAGATAGCCTGTCTTTTGTTTACTTATGATAAAAGTGATCCCTTTCTAATATGATCTTTAAAAACTGAATGATGTAAATAAAACTTTAATTTTTTTTTGATGGGATGGGAGTAAGTAAACAGGTCCTTCATTACGTAAGTAATTGGCCCTGAAATGGAAATAATTATTGGCTGAAGTAGGTTAAGAACACGAAGCATTATGCCCCTCTAGCCCTATTGTTATTTCCTGGGTCAAGGCTGAATCTGCTAATATATCAGTTTGAACAAAAATGAGAAATTGTGCTGTATCTAACCTTGTTTGAAGAGAAAACTGTATTCTCTACGCATATCTAGGAAATCATTTTAAGATCAGAGATCCTGGGGCTGGAAGAATTTATAGACCTATAAGGCAGAAGTCAGGGTAAAAATAAAAGTTAGTTTGCTGCCTTGGGCAGCATTTACAAGTTACACTTCTGAGTATGGCTGCAGCTTTCTTCCTGCATGTTGCTTTTCCATTATCATCAGTTCAGCCTCTCTGCAGTGACTTTTTTACCCATAACCAACCACATTTCTTATTTTGGTAATAACTACAGAAATAGACCTGAAATTATTTTCCTCTAGGAATTCTAGGCTGAGCTATTTTCAGTGGCATTTATTTGGTATTTTTAAGGTTAACTGATCATGTTTGGAACATAAATGAAAACAGAATAGTATGCCTTTCTTGAGCTAGTAATGTCACAGATCATAGACTTTGCCCAGAAGAAACCATGTTCTTTATTTGCAACTAAAATGACCTTTATTGGGATTTTTTGCTCTGTTTCCAGTATTTGACACAGCCATCTGACAAAAAACTTACTGTTTGGGTATAGCAACGTTACAAAATATAAAGCAATTTTAAATGTAGAGTCTCTTTTGCTCTAATTTAATAGAGACAATTTAGAGATAAAATCAGGGAGGGGAAGAAAAGCATGGCTTTGTGTGTTTTGCATTCTTCTCTTAATTATTCTTCTATTAACATGGAAGAGAAAAAATCAAGACTATTGTAGAAATTTAAATAGCAAGAGTAAAACAGGCCACATAAAGACATTTGTTTTTTTAAAAAATAATTTCAACTTTTAGTTTAGATTCAGGGAATACATGTTGAGGTTTGTTACATGGGAATATTGCATGATGCTGAGGTTTGGGGTAGGAATGGTCCTATCATGCAGGTAGTAAGCATAATACCCAGTAGATAGTTTTTCAGCTCTTGCCGTTATCCCTCTCATCACTCTCTCCTTCCTCCAGTAGTTACAGTGTCTTATCGTTCCCATCTTTATGTCCATGTGTGCTCAATGTTCAGCTTCCACTTATAAGTGAGGACATGCAGTATTTGGTTTTCTGTTTCTATAAATTCACTTAGGATAATGGCCTCCAGCTCTATCTGTGTTGCTGGAAAGGACATAAATTTTTTCTTTTTTATGGCCGTGTAGTATTCCATGGTGTATATATACTACATTCTCTATCTAATCCACTGTTGATGGGCACCTGGGTTGATTCCACATTTTTGCTACTGTGAATAGCATTGTGATGAACATACAAGTGCATGTGTCTTTTTTGTAGAATGATTTATTTTCTTTTGGGTATATACCCTGTAATGAGATCACTGGGTGAAATGTTTGTTGAATTCTTAGTTCTTTGAGAAACCTCCAAATTGCTCTCCATAGTGGCTGAACTAATTTACATTACCACCAACAGTGTATAAGCATTCCTTTTTCTCTGTAACTTCGCCAGAATCTATTATTTTTGAATTTTTTAATTAGTCATTTTGACTGGTATGAGGTGGTATCTCATGTGGTTTTGATTTGCATTTCTCTGATGATTAGCAATGCTGAGCATTTTTCATATGTTTGTTGGCTGCTTGCAGACAAGTCTTGTAATTACAAAGTCTTGTAATACAGTATCAAGCTTGAATTGCTATTTTATCTTTGATAAGCAACTCAGTAATAATTTTTGGAATTTAGAAATTTAGTTATATTAAATGCAACCAAGATTTGTTGAATACATGCTTCTTTTTTGTGTACTAGGTGATGGCAGTTCAAATGGGCATATAAGAAGTTATATATGGCACACATATTTAAAGTTTTCAGAATAATTTTGGAACTAATCAGAGGAAACCCAAGAGAAAATTTCAGTTATTTAAGCAATATTTTCCAAACAACTAAGACTAGTTCCTGCAAGACTGTGCAATGCCTCTATGCCTAGCATGATGTCTAGCATGGCATTCAGTACATATTTGTTCATTTGAAACAAGCTTATTTAAAAGAGCATGGATCTTTTCTTCTCAATCTTTGTAACCCTAGCACCTAATACAACACCCGAGGCATCAACTAATAATGAATCCTGACTAAGTATTTATTTTGGAAGAAGTAAATCTGAACATGTCTTCTAAATTCTACTTTAATTTTGAGCATAATGTGTTATTTTTCAGTTTTATTTTGCATCTCTCTAAATTAACAAGGTGTGTTAAAAAATGTCCAGGTGGCAGGAATTAGAAAACGTGTTAATCTTAGAAGGAGAGACTGCTAATGGAGAAATCTTATGAGCTCATAAATCAATGCTTTATGAAAGTGTGTGAGCACCATGTGCACTGGAATAACTTGCATTGCTGTTTAAAGTGAAGATACTTTGGCCCACTCTGGGACTATTGAATTGGAATATATAAAGATAGGGCTCATGAACCAGTGGCTTTTCAAGGTGTGGTGTGCAGATAAGCAGCATTAACAATACCTAGGACCTTGCTGAAAATGCACAGTCTTAGGTCCTACTGCAGAGCTGCTGAATCAGAATCTGTATTTTAACAAGATCCCAGGGGATTTAAATGCACTTTAGAATTTGAAAATCATTGCATTGATGTTTCAGAGCTATCACTACCATCTTAAATTATAAATTGACTCACATATGCAAGGATCCATTTGTCAGTTTCTAGTATTACGACACACTTTCACTCTGCTATTTTCTGCTGAAATGGTGAAAGAGTACTTATTTTTCACACCTGCTCTCATAAGCATATTATGAGATTATACTACAACTGTCTTTCTCGCTAGACTGTGAGTTCCAAGTCAACAACAACAGAATCTTTTCATCTTTTTACCTCAAACATTTAATGTTTACAAAGAGTAAGTACTTAATTAGTGCTGAATGAATAACTGAAAACCACTCTTAGATTGGGGGAGACACACATGTCAAAATAGGGAGAAAAGTAAGAATATGTTTAACGAGTTAATAGCTGCAATTCTGATTTTTGCCTTGTTTCCTGTTGATGCATAAATTGACTATAATGGACAAGTAACAATGGTTTTTTGAGTGTATGATAAAATGGTCTAACCACATTACTAACCATCAACTTTTCCAGGTTCAGATATCACAAATTAGCTCTGACTCTATTTCCAGCCTCACAGAGATAACTTACCATTACATTTAGCTAGTTCTTGCTTTTCTGTGCCTCACAAATCATAATCCTCAGCCCCTTACTTCAATCGCCATAATTCTGTCTCAGTAACCATGAATATGTGAGGCAGAGCTCAAGGTGGTAAGCAGGCATAGGCTGGGGGAAGCATAGGATCAACAAAGCTCTGCTGTTTAGAGGCCTTCTCTCTTTAATTTTTTTTATAGACTCGAGACACTAGGAGTCCCCAGTGTCTATTATTTCCCTCTGTATGTTAATGTGTACCCACTGTTTAGCTGCAATTTATAAGTGAGAAGATGCAGTATTTGATTTTCTGTTCCTGCATTAATTTGCTTAGAATAATGGCCTCCAGCTCCTTTGTGTTGCTCCAAAAAAACATGATTTCATTCTTTTTTATGGCTATATACTATTCCATGATGTGTATATAAGACATTTTCTTTATTCAGTCATCTTTTCATGGACACTTATGTTGATTCCATGGCTCTGCTGTTGGGAATAGTGCTGCAATACACATATAAATGTAGATGTCTTTTTGACATAATGATTTCCTTTCCTTTGAGTAGATACCCAGTAGTGGGGATTGCTGGATTGAATGGTAGTTCTATTTTTAGTTATTTAAGAATCTCCATACTGTTTTCCATAGAGGTTGTGCTAATTTACATTCCCACCAACAGTGTGTAAGTATTCCCTTTTCTCCACATCCTTGATGATATGGTTTGGATGTTTGTCCCTTTCAAATCTCATGCTGAAATGTAATCCCCAATGATTGGAGGTGCAGCCTGGTGGAAGGTGTTTGGGTCATGGGGGTGGATCACACATGAATGGCTTGATGCTGTCCTCATGGTAGTGACTGAGTTCTCACTCTATGAATTCACTCAAAACCTGGCTGTATGAAAGAACCTGAACTTCTGCTTTTGCCTCTTGCTCCCTCTCTGGCCATGGGACTTGCTGGCTCCCCTTTGCTTTCTGCCGTGATTAGAAGCTTCCTGAGACCCTCACCAGAAGCAGATGCTGGCACCATGCTTCCTTTACAGCCTGCAGAACTGTGAGCCCAAATAACACTCTTTTCTCTATAAATTACTCAGCTTCACATATTCATTTATAGCAGTGCAAACAGACTGACACATTTGCCAACATCAGTTGTTTTGACTTTTTAATGGCACTCATTCTGATTGGTGTGAGACGGTATCTCATTTTCATTTTAATTTGTATTTCTCTGATTCATGATGTTGAGCAGTTTTTCAGATGCTTTTTGGCCACTTGTATGTGTTCTTTTTATTTCTAAATGTTTATACGTATATAGTAGATGAATATATTTATGGAGTACATGAGACATTTTGATACAGGCATACAATGTGTAATAATCACAACAGGGTTAATGGGGTATTCATCACCTCAAGCATTTATCATTACTTTGTGTTACACAATTATACTCTTTAGTTATTTTAAAATATACAATAAATTATTGACTGTAATCTTCATGGTGTTATCAAATACTCTTGTATTTATTCTATCTATATTTTTGTATGCATTTCTATTGTTCAATAGAAACAATAGCTTTTAGCTCCCACACATGAGTGAAAACATGCAAAGTTTGCCTTGATGTGTCTGGCTTATTTCACTTAAAGTCCTCCAGTTCCATACATGTTGTTGCAAATGACAGGATCTCATTCTTTCTTATGGGTGGATGATACTCCATTGTATATATGTACCATATTTTCTTTATCCATTCATCCGTTGAGGGACACAGGTTGCTTCCAAATCTTGGCTATTCTGAATAGTACTAAAATAAACATGGAAGTGTAGATATTTCTTTAACATACTTATTTTCTTTCATTAGGGTATATACCTAGCAGTGGGATCAATAGATCATATGATAGTTCTGTTTTTAGTTAACTGAGGAACAGCCATACTGTTCTTCATGAATGCTGTGCTAATTTACATTCCCACCAACAGTGTATAAGGGTTTCCTTTTCTCCACATCTTCACCAGCATTAGTTATTTCCTGTCTTGAATAAAAGTCCACTTAACTAGTGTGAGATGTCTCATTGCAGTTTTGATTTGCACTTCTCTGATGATCAATGATGAGTACCTTATCATTTACCTATTTGCCATTTGAATGTCTTCTTTTGAGAAATATCTATTCAGTTCTTGCCATTTTAAAGTCAGATTAGACGTTTCCTATAGAGTTATTTGAACTTCTTATATATTAGATTGACAGTTTGCAAATATTTTCTCCCATTCTGTGGGTTGTCTCTTTGCTGATTGTTTCCTTTTCTACGCAAGAAGCTTTTTAACTTGATGTGATCCCATTTGTCCATTTTTGCTTTGGTTGCATATGCTTGTGGGGTATTAATCAAGAAACCTTTGCCAAGATCAGTGTCTTGGAGAGTTTCCCCAATGTTTCATTTTAGTAATTTCATAGTTTGAGGTCTTAGATTTAAGTATTTAATCTATTTTTATTTGATTTTTGTATAGTTATTGTGTATGGTGAGAGATAGGAGTCTAGAGTCATTCTTCTGTATATAGGTATCCAGGTTTCCTTGCATCATTTGTTGAAGAGACTGTCCTTTCCCCAATGAATATTCTTGGCACCTTTGTTAAAAATGAGTTCACTGTAGATGTATGGACCTATTTCTGGGTTCTGTATTCTGTTTTATTGGTCTGTCTGTTTTTATGCCAGTGCCATGCTGTTTTGATTACTATAGCTCTGTAGTATACTTTGGAGTCACGTAATGTGATTCCTCCAGTTTTCTTCTTTTTGCCCAGGATGGTTTTGACTATTCTGGGTCTTTTGTGTTCCATATAAATTTTAGAATCCTTTTTTCTGTTTATGTGAAGAATGTTATCAGTATTTTGATAGTGATTACGTTTAATCTCCAGATTGCTTTGGATAGTGTGGGTATTTTAGTAATATTGATCCTACCAACCCATGAAAATGGAATATCTTTTCCTTTGTTGTGTCCTCTTACATTTCTTGCATCAGTGTTTTATAATTTTCATTGTAGAGATCTTTCACTTCTTTGATTGTCTTCCTAGGTATTTAATTTCATTCATAGTTGTTGTAAATGGGATTGCTTTCTTGACTTCTTTTTTAAATTGTTTGCTGTTGGCATATAGAAATGCTACTGATTTTTACATGTTGCTATTGTGGTATCCCACAACTTTACTTAATTTCTTTGTTAGTTCAAATAGTTTTTTTGGTGGAGTCTTTAGGTTTCTCCAAATATAAGATTATGTAATCTGCAAACAGGGATACCTTTACTACTTCCTTTCCAGTTTGGATGCCCTTTATTTTTTTCTCTCGTCTGATTACTCTAGCTAGGACTTCCAGTACTGTGTTGAATAACAGTGGTAAAAGTGGGCATCCTTGTCATGTTCCAAATCTTAGAGGAAAGGCTTTCAGTTTTTGCTGATTCAGTATGATACTAGCTATGAATCTTTTGTATATGGTTTTTATTGTGTTGAGGAATGTTCCTTCTATACAGTTTTTTTGAGAGTTTTTGTCAAGAAGGGATGCTAAATTGTATCAAATCCTTTTTCAGCATCAATTGAAATATTATATGGTTTTTGTCCTTCAATCTGTGATATGATATATCACATTGATTGATTTGTGTAGGTTGAACCATGCTTGCATCCCTGGGATGAATCCCAATAGGACGTGATGAATGATCTTTTTAATGTGTTATTGAATTTTGTTTGCTAGTATTTTGTCAAAATTTTTGCATTGATAACTATCAAAGATATTGGCCTATAGTTATATTTTTTGATATGTATTTGTCTGGTTTTGAAAATACCAGGGTAAAATACCAGGGTAATACTGCTTTCATAAATGAGTTTGGAAATATTTCCTACTCCTGTATTTTTCAGAATAGTTTGAGTAGTGTTGGTATTAGTTCTTTAACTGGTAAAATTTAGCAATGAAACCATTAGGTTCAAGGCTTTTCTTTGCTGGGAGACTTTTTAATTTTTGTTATGCCTTCAATCTTATTGCTTGTTATTGTTTTGTTCAGTTTTTGGATTTCTTTATATTTCAATCTTGGTAAGTTGTATGTGTCTTGGAATTTATTCATTTATTCTAGGTTTTCCAATTTATTGGCATATAGTTTCTCATAGTAGTCTCTAATACTTTGAACTACTGTGGTGTCAGTTGTAATGTCTCCTTTTTTTGTCTCTGATTTTATTTATCTGGTCCTTCTCTCTCTTTTTCTTAGTCTGGCTAAAGTTTAGTCAATGTTGTTTATCTTTTCAAAAAATGAACTTTTTTCATTTTTTGATCTTTTATATATTTTTTGCTTCAATTTCATTCATTTCTGTTCTGATCTTTATTATTTCTTTTCATATAATAATTCGGGGTTTATTTGCTCTTCATTTTTTAGTTCTTTAAGGTGCATTGGGAAGTTATTTGAAGTTTTTCTGCTTTTTCTATGTAGGCAGTTATTGCTATAAACTTTCCTCTTAGTAGTGCTTTTTCACTGTATCCCATAGGTTTTAGAATGTTGTGTTTCCATTATAATTTGTTTTCAGAAAATTTTAAATTTTCTTCTTAATTTATTTATTGACCCCTTATCATTTAGGAGCCCATGTTCAATTTTCATCCATTTGTATAGTTTGCAAATTTCATCTTGCTACTGATTTCTAGTTTTATTCCATTGTGGTTAGAGAAGATACTTGATCTAATTTAAATTCTTTTGAATTTTATAAGACTTGTTTTGTGGTCTAACATATGGTCTATCCTTGAGAATGATCCATGTGCTAAGGAGAAGAAAGTGTATTCTGCAATCATTGAGTGAAATGTTCTGTAAATATCTATTAGTTTCATTTGCTCTATAGTGCCTTTAATCTATTGACTACTAGGAAATAGACTATAACCAATAGTCTATAGTCTATTGACTCCTCTTTTTATAGTTTTTGTTTTGAAGTCTATTTTGTCTGATATAGGTATAGCTACTCCTGCTCTTTTTTGTTTTCTGTTTGCATGGAATATCTTCTTGAATCCTTTCGTTTTCAGTCTATGTGTGTCTTTATAGGTGAAGTGTGTTTCTTGTATATAACAGATCATTATTGTTGCTGTTTTTAATCCAGGTTCTCTATTAGTTTTGATTGGAGAGTTTAGTCCATTTACATTCAATGTTACTATGGATAAGCAATGACCTACTCCTGACGTTTTGTTTTTTGTTTTCTGGTGTTTTGTGGTCTTCTCTTCCTTTCTTCCTTTTTCTTGTCTTCCTTTTTATAATGGCGATTTTCTCTGGTGGTATGTTTTAATTCCTGGCTTTTTATTTTTTGTGTATCTGTTGTAGGATTTCTTATTTGGGGTTACCATGAGGTTTGCAAATAACATATTATAACCCATTACTTTAAACCAATGCCAACTTAACATTGGCTGCAAAAATGTATGTCTTCTTTGGAGAAATGTCTGCTCATGTCCTTTGCCTACTTTCTATTTGTGTTATTTGTTTTTTTCTTGTTGAGTTGTTTAAGTTTGTTGTAGACTCTGGATATTAGTCCTTTCTCAGATGTAAAATTTGCCAATATTTTCTCCCATTCTGTCAGTTGTCTGTTTATTGATTATTTTGCTGTTCGGAAAGCCTTTAGTTTAATCAAGTCTCATTTGTCCAGTTCTATTTTTGTTGCAGTTGCTTTTGAGATCTTAGTTATAAATTCTTTGCCTAGGCCAATGTCCTAAATAATTTTTTCTAGATTTTCTTTCCATAGTTTCAGATCTTACATTTAAATCTTTAATCCATCTTGAGTTAAATTTTTTTCTATGGTGAGAGATAGGAGTTCAGTTCTTTACATATGGTTACATATGGCTATCGAGTTTTCCCAGCACCATTTATTGAACAGGGTCACCTTTCCTGAATTTCAGCCTCCAGGCCATGTTCCAAATAACCACCATAAATCTGAGTTCGGGATAATTGACTTCTTTTATATTGTTTTGTGCCTACATCTATCAGTTAATCTTTCCAATGCTCTTGTTTACATTATATTACATATACCACCCCAGATAAATTGTGTATATTGAAATATCAAATACAGTCAATTCTCATTATTTGCAGTGCTCATGTTCTATAAAGTTACCACAAATGCTGAATTAGTGAGTGCTAAAGCATTAGTTCTAGGGGAAATCTAGGGTTAGGTTCCTGGGAGCTTATGTTCACATTTTCCTCAACCAATCAATACATAACCTTATTTTATGTGTCTTTCTGTTTAAAGATGCCTTACTTAATATATATTGTTGATTCATTAACATTGAATTCATAGCCAAGAGCACGAAAACTCACACCTGAACTAAGTTTATCTAGCACAGATACTTTTCTGTGAAGCACATTACAGCCTTGTGCTTAGTAACACTAGGCAGTACTTTGGCACTACACCTGAGAACCATTTTAAATAGCAAAACACCAATAAACAGCACAAAAATTCCAAAAGCATGGCATTAAATAGGCCCTCAAAAGGAAACTTGTTTAGACTATGAGACCTGAAATAAGAAGGGAGAGGTTGCCTTCAGCTGGGAATGTGCATGCCAGGTGCTCAAATTGCTGCTTTGCACATGTCCAGGAATGACCACATAAATGTTGTACTCATTTGGGGGTTACCAATACATTTTAGTAGTAGACAAAATATATGCAATCTGAAAATAATGAGGATTGACTCTACTGTTTTGAGTGTTCAGGCACTTTCCTGAGTGTTTAATAAAATATCTACACAGAGATAAACATTGAATTAATGAAATGATGTCCATCTTTTGCTTGGATAGAAAAGTCTTTAAAATAGGCCTATGATTGTCAAGTCAGTATTAGGTGTTAGAAGTTTGTATATATAAATATAAAGAATTTTGTAAAAACACAAAATTATCAGGCCGTCCTCCAAGTAAGTATAACTAAAGTTTGTTGGGTCCTAATTCAATTTGTGCAGGCACCATACTAAGAATTTTATGTATACTGTCTCCTTTATGCAGTCTCAGTATGGTAAATTAATATATTCAAGTGCATACCTCTATTAAGTGTCAAATTAGAATACAAAATTCCTGGCCTTTCTAAATTGTTATTCTTAATTAACAGGCATGGCTGTGTCCACAATTAAAAAAATGACTTTTAATAGCTTTTGTTAGTTTTTTTTTTTTTTTTTTTTTTGAGACAGGGTCTCACTCTGTCATGCAGGCTGGAGTGCAGTGGTGCAATCACAGCTCACTGCAGCCTCAACTTCCCAGGCTCAATGGATCCCCCCACCCCAACCTCCTGCCCCCACCCCATCGAGTAGCTGGGACTATAGGCACATACCACCACATCTGGCTAATTTTTGTATTTTTTGTAGAGACGGGGTTTTACCATGCTGCTGCACACTGGTCTTGAACTCCTGGGCTCTAGTGATCCACCTGCTCAGCTTCCCAAAGTAATGGGAATACAGGTATGCGCCATCATGCCCCACCCATTAATTTTTATATTATAACCTTTAATATTATTTTCCATAAGCATATTTTAAATTCTTCTTGTAATTTTGTGCATATTTGTTTTATATTTATTTTCAGTGTTGACTTTCTTTTGTTATCTGTATATAATTAGTATTTAAGATTAGGAGAAGATGATTTAATGGTAGTTATAAAAATAAGCTCTACTGTATAGACATAAACTCTAGTCCTTGTGTGGTTGGCAAGTATTTTCAATATCTGAAGATACTAGATTTAAAGCAATTTGGAGTTACAGGGCTTGTGACAGATTGTCTTTTCCAAAGACGAGCACAACATCTCTCATCTGCATTGAGCTGTTATAACTCTTCCATCAAGAGGTAAAGTTTACTTTGCCACCTACTTGAATCTGAGACAGCAGCCCCAGACTGCTTTGACCAATACAGTATGCAGAACTGATACTGCCAGTAACAGGCACAGCCCTTAACTGGCCTGGAAACTTGTACTTCCTCCCTGTTGGAAGCTAACCACCATTTAATAAGTGTGACTACTCCCACCCAAGCCCATGTGGAGAGGGCTTGGAGGCTGAGAGGCTGTGCTAGAAACAGAAAGCCCAGGGAAAACAAAAGTGCCAGACCTGCAAATGAAGAAGCCAAGTTGGAAGCCAATCTTTCAGCACCAGCTGACCCCAGTTAATAGCAGATGGATTAGAGATGAACCCCCCACCTGAGTACTTCCTGACTTCCTAACATATAAAAATGTGAGCCCAATAAAATAGTAGAGATTTTATGCCACGACATTTTGAGGTAGTTTTAAATGTAGTAATCAAGAATCAGAATAGGGTCAACAGAGCATATATACCTGCCCTGCTAAAAGGCTTTATTCTTTTAAAACATTTGACTGGACAATGAGAGCCCATTTTCCCAATGAATTTGCTGTAGGGTAACTGTAGGGTTTGCTACTCCTGCTCTGGAACAACAGGAAACTGAATTCACATCCCATATCTACCATTTACTTTGTGACTGGACAAGTTACTCAACATCTTGAAGCCTTACTTTCCTTTCCAATCAAATGGGGTTACAGTGAGAATTTAATGGTTTAATGAATAAAAAGCATTACCAGCTATCAATTTTAATCATTTTTTAATTATATTTTTAGATATAGTGATTTATTTTCTTGGCTAGAAAAAATGAAATTGTATTGCTTCTTGGTTTAAAATAATTGCTGACATTTTTACTATTATACTAACCTGTCAGTGACAATGAGAATATCAGCTAGAGAAAGAGAGGAGGTGTTTTTTCCTTTTGCTTGGTTTACAAAGTCATGTTATTCAATCACTGGTTTCTATATCTATTTTTCATTATATATTTATTTACTATAGAATGCATACCTGCTCAACATATCCTTAAATATAAGATGTTAACATATGTCTATATTTCCACATATGTACAAATGATGAATTTAATAACTTTTGCATGGTTGATAGCACATAAAGCTTAAATTACTTTTTGTGTCTTTTAACAATTGCTTAACTGTTAAAGATAATGAGGTTTATAATTGCAGTCATTGTCTTTCTCTAATTGTACTTTCACAAATTAGCCTTCAGACCAAATCTATTTGAAGCTACTCTTCTACTTTTACTCTTCCCAATTTAGTCTCTGAATCTCCCCTACCCCTCTCTCATTCTTTCTTCTTCGTTTCTTCCTCTCTCCACGTACACATATATGCGTATGCACATATATGTCTATGCGCATACATGCAAACACACACATATTTACGTTTGACTTCTCAGTATTTGGTCTTTGGGTTAGGAATCCTACTTACAGCAGTCCACTGAGATACTAAATTCCTTTTATTTCAGTTCCTTATGACCATTTGTCTGTCTAAGCTTTGATAAAATATGGCAGGGTTCAGGATTATTGGCAGTCTTTTCTTCAGTGAACCCTAAAACTGGAACTTCATAAAAGTTTCACATCAGGAGAAACATGTAGAGTAGATATGAGCAGAAATAAGATTAGCAACTGCTTTGAAAATCAGATTGTTCTTATTTCTCTGCTATATGTGGAGTTCTCTTACTTGTATGCCCAGGAAGTCTTAATTTCCTCTGGCATCTGCCAGCCTGTTTCACCACATCATGCTAATTCATCCCACTGAAAAAGTTATAAAACGCAGGAAGCTTAAATAAGCCCAGGAACTGCGTTCATCACTCTTTTTAAAAAATGAAACACAGAATATGTTTGCTTTATTTACAGTATTGGCTTCAGGCAAATCAAATTTATGTGAAATATTATTGCACCGAAAGGATGTAATGTGCATTTCTTGCATGATACTAAATTTATCTTTAGGAAACAAAGACAAGTGAAGCAGCAAACTTGCCGAACAATCTCTGCCACACCATATGCACTTCGTGAGTTAAAAAGTTATGTTTTTATCCTAATTATTTATACTATAAATTCTGGTATTGCATCTAAATTCTATTAATTTTCAAAAAGTTTCATTTCATTAATTAGCTTATGGTAGGACAAAGGGGTTTCACTGTATCTACAGATGAGACTTCATTCCTTGTCTAGACTGGCTGGTGAAAACCTGGCTCCATCCCAGCCTAGGGGCAGTGACCCAGGTATAAACTCTGGGTCCAGCATCCTAAGTATAAATCCTGCTCTGTCCCTCAATTATTGAGTAAGTTCAGGGTAAAATGAACAATGCCAAGCACAAAGAGGGCTATAAAGAGGTATAAGACATAATCCTTGCCCTCATGGACTTTCGGGCTAGATTTTTGATCAGTAGATCTTAAGAGCGTGAAATATAAGCTTGTACACCTCCCAGAGCATTACTCATGTGAGGTGGAATGGAACATGCTGAAGGACACATAATCCATGTTTTAAACTGAAGAGGACCCATATAGTTAGCTAAGCTTTTAGAAGAACAGGTTGAGCATCCCTAATCGGAAAATCTAAAATCAGAAATCCTCCAAAATCTGAAAGTATTTGAGCACCAACATGATAAAAATGGAAAATTCCACATGTGACCTTATGTAATGAGTTTCAGTCAAAATGCAGGCATACAACCCACAGTTTATTCAGCATTCCCAGGAGAAAAAAGACCCTCCCAGCCTGTTTTCCTATTCAATACCTCACCTATGTTGCTTCTCAGTAGCTGATCTTGGAACATTAATGATACCAAAGGGGAGTGTTTTAGGTGCAGATCAAGATAGCAACTAAAACTTATGATAATTAACTTAGGAACTTAAATCAGTGAGTGAATTTCCAGGGACAGTGAGAACACTAATTCTCTGTGATTTTAAAATGTCTCCATTTGTTATATTCTCTGATTTTTCTTCCCGTATTTTTATGAGCAAAGCTTATATCAACCCTATAAAAATGTTATACTAGTATAAGGAAGAGTAACAGAAAGGTACAGTCTGGAAAAGTGAACCCTGGTTCATTGACTGATAAGCCAGAGGAACTCAGGACCTAATAGGCTGCAGGAGAGCATCAAAATAGGACATCAACTAGATTGCCCCTGCCCCCTCAAAGGTATACAAGTGAGTACAAGGGCCACTTTATTTGGTTCAGCATTATAAGAATTAGAAGGGTGAGGTTCCATGAACCCCCGTTTGTTATGTAATGAAGATGATTAACTTTCTGGCTTGCTGAGTAAAATGGTACTCATAATAGAATCAAAACCTTTCCTGAAGGTAAGACATGCTATATTTATTGCTTCCTCCTTGTCTATAAGCCAGAACATTCTCTCACTATTGTAATACAAGCTAATAAGAGCCAAATAAATCTCTGATCCTTTGGCTCACTCTGCCATTAAACACAAGCCATTGTAAAGTCATGAAAATTACCTGAGAAGGATGTGGAAAAACTGTTTTTTTCAGAAAAGACCAACCACAGTGATTAAAGGGATGAAAAAGATGACCTGCTTGAAAACTCTAAAGAACCCAGTATTATTTGAAAGAAGAGGAAGCTGAATGGTAACTTAATAACTATCTTCAGATTTCAACAGGACTACTACTTCTGTTTTATCCATTTCTATAGAGTTTGAAACTACTAAGGAATTATTCTGAAATCTTTCTGTAACTAGCATATTTGACTCATTTTATACTAATTATTATAACTTTTTTCCATTTAAAAAGTCTGAACTTGTATTTGGCATTCTTCCATTTGAAAGAATAAGTATTAGGAAGAGATAATCAAATAGTATTACTCTCTTTTTCTTCTTCTTATATATGAAAAGATGGTATTGTTTTTCTTGGCATAAACAACCTTTGACTTGTTCTTGCCATTTATCAGACTCAAAAATCTGTGGATTGAAGTCTTCTGTTACTTAGCTCCAGCTATGCTGTGAGTTATTATTGCCAAGCCTTAATAATATTGACAAAAAAGGGGGAAATAAACATGTTAGAAGTTAAATTGCATTCCTTGTTACTTTATAAACTGAAATAACAAGACTTGGAGTCATTATCTTGTAGATTTCTGGATAAAATTAATATGTAGGGCCTTTAACTTGTTTTGAATCTCTTAATGAACATTTTCTATGTGAGAAGTATTGTTTAGTGCTAGGTTTTTGGGTAAAAGAGAAAAAAAGAGAAAGAGTAAGACAGGATATCAGAGCTCAAGATGCTTCTAATCTGGTGGTAAAGATAATTTAATGAATTAGAGGTCGGTAAGCAACACCTAATCATATACATGTGTAGTACCTCAAGGGAAACACAAATCCTGCTTGGGCAAGAACACTGAGATAGATGTCTAAACAGGATTTCTTGTTTTTAACTCTCAAGTTTCACAATAACATAGCTCAGTTCGTTTTAGTGCCCCCGTCTACTCTCAAACTCCATCCCCGACATATTTTCATCAGACTATTCTTTCTTTCTCTTTGTTGAGTTGGTTTTTGCTTTGTTGTTCTTATATCTGAGTTTCTCCTTACTTATAAATTTTTTTTACAACTTTTCACCTGCCAAAGCCTCAATTTTATCTCGTTTCTGCTAATTGCATTCTTTTATTTCCTGCTTTTATGAGCCACTCTCCTATAAAATTTCTCAATTTAAATTCCAGAGAAGGAACTTCTGATTATCCCCACTTAGCTTCATACCGTATTATGTCATAGGTCCCAAGCCAATGCTTGGGTCAGAAGCCAATATGCATTCAATTTAGACTTACTCATTATGGCTTCTCCTGCAACAGGAACTGTGGTCCTGGCAGTTTCCTCTGGAATGAGATAAGGCATAGCAAGTATCGTAATGTGCTGTTAAATTTTGAAGAAAGTATGGAATTTGAAAAATTGAAAAGAAAAAGATAAGGATTGAAGGAACATTTGGAGACAACCCAGATATGCTGATGAACACAGTGAGGATAGGGCTTGGAGAGATCTACTTTATCTAGGGAGAAAGCATGCTCAGTAGTGGAAACACTTCTGGTTAGGCAGGGTGAGAACAGGAACTAGCAGCTCTCTAAAGCAAGCCAAGACTTTAGACTGATTGTTCTTGAGTCCATAACTTAACAAACAATAGTTAAGGGAATTTAGTTGTCCTATGTGCCTATTAAATAACTGGATAGGGGTTTTAAAATCATTTTTTAAAAAAGCAATTAAAAATACCTTTCATTTTGATTAGTAAGGGAATTTTTTAAAGAGAAACTCAGGACATATTTGACTGTAGGAAGAGATTATACTCCTTTCACTTAGAAAAATACATAACACTGGAGGAGCTAGATGTGATAAACCAGGAAATAGAAAAAGTGCCATTGTAAGTATAGACAGATATCGGGGGAAATTCAGCCAGATATTGGGCAAAATTCACCCCCGATATTTCATGTAGGTTCTTTTCTATTTTCCCTAAGCATCAGCCGGTTTGAGAAATAAAGGGACAGAGTATAACAGAGAGAAATTTTAAAGCCAGGTGTCTGGGGGAGACATCACATGTTAGTAGGTTCCGTGATGCCCCACAAGCTGTAAAACCAGCAAGTTTTCATTAGGGATTTTCAAAAGAGGAGAGAGTGTACGAATAGGGTGTGGGTCACAGAGATCACGTACTTCACAAGGTAATAGAATATCACAAGGCAAATGGAGGCAGGGCGAGATCACAGGACCACAGGACCGGGGCGAAATTAAAATTGCTAAGGAACTTTCAGGCACCATTGTCATTGATAACATCTGTCAGGAGACAGGGTTTGAGAGCAACCGGTCTGACCAAAACTTATTAGGCGGGAATTTCCTCGTCCTAATAAGCCTGGGAGCGCTATGGGAGACTGGGGCTTATTTCATCCCTACAGCTCGACCATAGAAGATGGCCACACCCAAGGGGGCCATTTTAGAGGCCCACCCTCAGGGGCGCATTCTCTTTCTCAGGGATGTTCCTTGCTGATAAAAAGAATTCAGTAATATTTCTCCCATTTGTTTCTGAAAGGAGAAATATGGCTTTGTTCCACCCGGCTCACTGGCGGTCAGAATTTAAGGTTATCTCTCTTATTCCCTGAACATTGCTGTTATCCTGTTCTTTTTTCAAGGTGCCCAGATTTCATATTGTCCAAACACACATGCTCTACAATTTGTGCAGTTAACGCAATTATCACAGGGTCCTGAGGCGACATATATCCTCCTCAGCTGACAGGATTAAGAGATTAAAGTAAAGACAGCCATAGGAAATCATAAGGGTATTGATTGGGGAAGTGATAAGTGTCCATGAAATCTTCACAATTTATGTTTAGAGATTGCAGTAAAGACAGACATAAGAAATTATAAAAGTATTAATTTGGGGAACTAATAAATGTCCATGAAATCTTCACAATCCATGTTCTTCTGCCATGGCTTCAGCTGGTCCCTCCATTCGGGGTCCCTGACTTCCCGCAACAGACAGAGATATTTATATTTCAGCCTGACCCTAATCCTAACCCAAATTCTAATTCTAAAAGAGATCACATTTAAAATATATCTTTATTTTGGAAGAATTGCAAAGCTAAACTTTTCTAAAATCCTAGTCTTTAGCGAGACAATGTTATTTTGAGTTAAGTCAAAAATTTTGCACACACACATGCACACATGCATGCTGTGGCTGTCTTGTGGCTTTTCCTTGAAATGGGTATGTGATTATATTATTTTCCCCCTCCCTTTAGAAAGACATAACACATGTCATTGGTCATTATTTTGCCACATGGTGACCCTAGTTTAAAGTTTTGTTCTATGTTCATGTTAAAGGAGAAAAAATGATAAATGACAATGTAATCAAGAAATTGAATATAAACTTGCCGATTCGTCTAATTACAGAGTTTAGTGCTGTGGGTTCCAATTTGTCTCTTCCTAGACAGTTGCTTTGTATCCATGAATGAATGAATTCGTAGTATTGAAAACCTGCTCCCAGTGCTATGTAATTTATCAAATAATATGTGTGAGTATAAGATATAACTGCTGCCCACAAAAACTCATAATTTATTTGAGGACACAAAACTCATATACATAAAATAATTCATGAATGAGACATATTCACATGTTATATGCAGGCAGGTCCTGCTTTTACTGTGCTTGTGGAAATCCAATTTTAAAATATATTATTTTAAGATAAATTCTCACCTGGGAGTATGTTGTATTCTAACACTATTATCTTTGTCTTTTGGGGCATATTTGGCTTACATACAAGTCAAAGAATACTAGTTTAAAAAGTTGTTAAATTCAAATTTACCCAACATATATTATCTATTATATGTTATGCATTCTTTTTTATATGTTATCACAAACTACAATTTCAGCACTGTCCATGTTCTTCGTTTTTTAGATAAGAAATGGCTCGGAAAAGTTAGGTAATATGGCCAAATTTACACATCTACTAAGTGTCAATGCTGAGATGTGAAAGTCAGTTTTTCTCAGTCAAACTTTAAGAGTCTCCTTACTGTCTATGTGAATGTTTGTGTCCCCTCAAAATTTGTATGTTGAGACACAATCCCCAATGCAATGATGTTAAGAGGTGAGGTTAGGAGGTGATTAGATCAGGAGGGTGGAGCTCTCATGAGTGGGATTATTGCTGTTATAAAAGAGGCCTGAGGGAGCTTGTTCACCCCTTCTTCCATCTGAGGACACATAGAAGGTGCCATACATGAGGAACAGGCCCTCACCAGAGACTGAATCTGATGGGGCCTTGATCTTGGACTTCCCAGCTTCCAGAAGTGCGGGCAATAAATTTCTGTTTATAGATTATCCAGTCTTAGGAATTTTGTTGTGTCAGCCCAAACAAACTAAGATAAAAATCCTTTAACCTTCATCCAATGATTGTGTGGTAAGTTATTGAGGATTGATTAAAGCTCTTTACTAGGCATTGCCAATGCTTAAAGCTCTAAAATACAAAACAGAGAGACATGGATACTACTTATGCAGAGATCATAAATTCTATTGTTTATATGATTAGACTCTACGACTGTTCTACTTAAATGCTAATTGAGGAATGCAACACCAGGTAAGGAAAAGGTCTGAGAGGGTTTGGTTAGTATGGGTTAGCATCAGGAGGAAGATTTCATGGGGGAATTTGACTAATTTCTTAAAAGTTTAATAATAGCAACCATATAAATAAATATCTTTGCTTTTACTTCTTTCTTTCTCCCCTCCCTCTCCTTTTCTTCCTTTCTGTCTTCTATTTGCTGCATAACTACTATATGTCATAGAATATTTGATGACATTTTCAAGTGTAAATAGCTTTCATCTATATTATCTCATGTTATCCTTGTAACAATCTTTTAGGTTAAATACAGAAGTATTAGCTTCTCTTGCTGATGAGAAAATCTGTAAACATTGTTTTCCAAGTTTTTGCCCTACATACAAATATAGGACCTCAACCCCATATAACATAAGTTCCGTCAAGAGTTGCTAAAGTCCCTAAGCAGTATCTTGTATGTGTTTATAAACCAGTCTGGAGCTAGCTGATTTTCCAGGTTCTAGCAGGGTTTCTTCTGACCAGTACTTCGTTTGCCATGTCACATTTACTGGGTACTACCACTCAAGAATGCCTTTGCTGTCACTTCCACTGGTCTCATACCACTAGCACACTATGCCTTCAGTTTTTAGTCACATGCCAATTTCTTTTATTTTTAATTTTATTTATTTATTTATTTATTGTTTACTTTAAGTTTGGGGATACATGTGCTAAATGTCAAGTTTGTTACATAGGTATACATGTGCCATGGTGGTTTGCTGCACCTATCAACCTGTCATCTAAGTTGTCACATGCCAATTTCAAGATTTAAGATAGGAGTTCACCAGGAGCTTAGGTAAGAAAAAACACTAGTACTTGGCTTTGCCTCCTTTATTCTTAAGACTTCGTTATTCAGTCAAACTCCTGCTAGACTTCCTTTCCCTAGGAATGGTTTTTCCTGCTTGCCTTTTGCAAGCAGGTTCTTTGCTTTTTCTGAATCCTAGTGGTGGTAGATCAAGGTGGAACCTATGAGTAAGAGGTAGGTCAAGAACTAAACTTTTTGAATTCCAGAACCAAAAATACTGAATGAAAAAAAATTAATTAAGAGTTCTTTTTCATTCTAAAATAGGTTTTTTACAAGGCTAAACAGTGGGAACAATTTTGAGAAAGGCACAGAGATGTACAAAAGCTTAATTTATAAGAAACACTAGAGTTCCCATATGCTGTGAAAGGTTGCTGCTGAGTAAGGAAATGTGTAGATGTTTGAATGCCAGACAAAGAAATTTCCAAATCTCCTTTCAATTTCCTTTTAATAGCCCATTAAACTTTTCATGCCATGTTTTCATGCCATGGTTTGTTTGTTTATTTATTGAGAGTCTCACTCTGTCGGCCAGGCTGGAGGGCAGTGGCACTATCTTGGCTCACTGCAACCTCTGTCTCCCGGGCTCAAGTAATTCTCCTGCCTCAGCCTCCCAAGTAGCTGGATTACAGGCATGGGCCACCATGCCTAATTTTTGCATTTTTAGTAGAGACGGGGTTTCACCATGTTGGCCAGGCTGGTCTCGAACTCTTGACCTCAGGTAATCCGCCCGCTTTGGCCTCCCAAAGTATTGGGATTACAGGTGTAAGCCACTGCGCCTCGCTGCCATGGTTTATTTGTAGACCCTTATGATATACAGCTTATAATTTCTACTTATTTCCCATGATTTCAATCACTTCATGCTTATAAATACAAAGAGTTTTCTGTATTAAATTTTTAAGATGAATTTCATTGATTAATATTATTTAGGACATAGAAAAAAACACAACTTAAATTCAGTGTTTATAATAAAACAAGTTGGTTTATGCATAATGTATTCCTATCTTCTAGCAAGCATCTGCTGCACTAGGAACCCCAACACTGGCTTTTTCTGCAAAGAAAAAAAGTAACAAAAAGAAAATATTTACAGCTATTTTCAGATCCAAATTCAAAATTTTAGCTTGGACTAGGACTCAGTGGGACTTCATTAGAATTGCTGTAGAGAATTGGAAAACTGAAAAGAGTTTCTGCATTCCCTGTGCAGCAGCAGGTCTGCAGAATTCAGAATAATCCCCCTGGGAGGCATTAAGCAACAAGTCATGATTTCTCACTTTCCTGTTTCATTTGTTTGAGAGGGTAGTTTTCCTTTTGTGAGAGAGGGTAAAAATGAAGTTATTAGTTTTGGTTTTTGCTCTCCTGCAGTATCATGTCAAGCTTACTTACGTCTGAAGTTTTCAGCTGTTCCTCTATCTGGTGGATTAAAAAATGTGCCCTTTATAAATACGATTAGTATGGAGAATTGATACATTAACAGTTAGCTTTATAAATTGACAGATTTCTAAATTAACCTATGGTCCACAAATCAAGTTCTATCACTATTTCCTGCCACCAAAATCAGTGATGAAGCCTCTTCCACACTAAATGAAGAGTGGCGAGGGACAGAATTCCACTTGTCTTCCTTTTGCTGCACTAACTACACCAGGCAAAGCCTTCTTAAAACCCTGATTTTTCTAGATACATGTTTCTTAGATAAGTTACATGTTTCTTAGATAATCTGTAATATATTTGACTACTAATGTAGTAGTTTTTAAAAATATTGGTAGAACAACCTGATATTACTTTAAAAATAAAACAGAAAATAGTAGTGGCTAATGATTCCTTTTTTTTTCTTTCCAACATTTTTATGATTCCAAAAATTTTCTGTTGTTTTTATAGGATCAAAGATTTTTTTAGGTAAAAGTAGAAGATTTTTTGTGGTGTGAGATTTGAGGAGCATGCACCAGGTTCATCTTCTCAAGAACAGTGTCTTGCCCATCCCTGAGAACTGACACTCCCCACTTAGAGATGCATTTCCTTTGTGAATTAAGGAGGGCATGCTGAAGAACTGGAAGTAGCAACTTTATTCCCTCAAAGAGGGAAGAGGCTCTCCAGGGTGTCTCAATACCTTTATATTATTAGGTTTCACTTAATACCTTTATATTATTAGGTATCCACAGGTTATCCTGGCCTTCATTGTGCAGCATTGCATGAGACACTTTAGTTTCCATGCTTAGCTGTTAGCTGCTTCAGGCAGGGAACGAGGATGCTGTTGATGAAAGATGAAAGATATAAGGAAGGGAAATTAAATGGCCCCTAAATTACAAGAAGGGTGATAATATTACAGGCTAAGGTTAAGACTGTGTACCAAGACATTTAACGCAGTAGGTTAAGAAGGCAGAGTAATAAAGAGACAACCTTGGCAAGTGCCACCACAAACCCAGGAAGCCAGGACTCCTGCAGTGGGTCTCCATGTGGTGAAGAGTCCCACTCTTCTGTCTTCTGACTGTGCTCCTCTTCTAGGTAGGAGGATTTTCTGGGTCTAAGGGGATGTTTCCACCCAGAACCCTCCTTCTAAACTATGCCCCAGCAATCCCAGAAACCATCACTTCATGTCCAGTGCCTACATGAACCTCTTCCCCATATCCATCCTTCCAGTTATACCCATGCATGTTCCTCTAGATCCAAGCAGGATTTCCATTTGTACTCTTGCCCAGGCCTGGAAAATGTTAGGACAGCCTGACCATGCTTGTTCGTAATACACATTAATCTGGAACTGGTCCTGTGTAAGTCTGGAGGTTACCAGAGAATGAAGGAGAATGAAGTCTAATTAGTTCTTTGCTTATGTTCTTAGGGCTTAGGCTGTTTAGGCCTGGATTTGCTCAAGAAAATTCACACACATAAAGATCAATGATGTGTATATGGAGATCTGAAAAGCTGAGTTTTACAACTTTGGAATCAGGTTGTCTTGTTACATGGGTTTTAGGGGAGAAAAGTGGAAGGAGAACCATCCCTGCACATCAGAGCGCCAGTAATGAATAAATTATTAGTTAAAAGAGATAGCAGGGTTGAGAAGAGATTTGACATGGAAGGGCTATATTGGACATGCTTATAGTCAGAGAGAAGTGGTGAGTGACAAGGGAAGGGAAAATTTGCTTTAGTATATACTGACATTATTAAAACAAGTACTTTGAGTTTATTGAATAATGAACGTTCCTCTTTATATAGCAAATAATTTATCATTACTTTTTTTGGTAGCGTGTAGAGTTTTCCTATAATGTTTTACTATCCATATACTATTATATATTCTATATAATAAAGTTCAATTTACAGACTCCTCAGTGTAGGACTACTAATACTAATCCATCTAGTGTTGATGACTCATTGTTTTGATGAAGGCACCTGTACATCTGGAGAATATTATGGATGGAATTTTGTCTACCAAAATTCATATATTCGAGGGCTAACCCCTAATGTATTGGTATTTGAAGGTAACTACCTTTGTGAGGTAGTTAGGTTTAGATAAGCTCATGAGGGTGGGAGCCTCATGATGACATTATTACCCTTAGAAGAAGGAAGCTTGGTCTCTCCCTCACTCTCTCTGCCATGTGTGAACACAGAAGGAAGGCGACTATCTGCAAGTTAGGAAGAGGGACCTCACAAGAAACTGACCAGGCTGGCACCCTCATCTTTGACTTCCAGCCTCCAGAACCATGAGAATATAAACGTCTGTTGTTTAAGCCACCAAGTCCATGGTCTTTTGTTATAGCAGACTAAGACAAATATACAGACATAGAGTTGATAATTTGGGGCATAAGAATGAGTATATGCTGAAGCCCTGTAGGGCTTGTCCTGCAACTTATTTAAAATGGCCCTGGAAGTCACATTTTTTCTTTGACTACTAAAGGAAGCATATGTAACTCCACAGTGGAACACAGTAACATATTTGCTTTTCTGTAAAATTAATTTGAAAGTCTGTGGATCTAGCATTTTTCTTTCTGGTGATGCTTGGTCCCAAGAAAACCATATTCTCTCCTACTATGATCAGTGTTCTCTGACTGGACACCATTCAGAACACTAGTTCTAATTTATGTGCTAGTGACCCAGCAAGCCACAGACTTGCATATTCACTTGAGCACATTTATTTATCTTGTATGCAAGGTTAATGGAGAGCAAGGAAGTTAGTCCTTGCTATTTCAAGAACATGTACATGAACAACTTGGAAGTAGCTTATTTCAAATCGCACACATTGGTCTCAATCAAAATAACTGTTTACAGTTTATCAGATGTGGCATGAGATCCATTGCCAGTTGGTTGAGCAAAGTCCAGGCATAAACAATGGTAAAAATTGTGTCTTTTTTGATAAGATTAAAAACTATGATAAATGGTTGAATAAAAAATCAATGTGGGATAACTTTTATTATGATGGCTTGCATTCTTATCCATATGTTAAATCAGTGTTGTCATATTAAGAAGAGAAAAAATGATTTTAAAATAATTCTCAGCATGTGTAGTTGATTAGAAGTAGATTTCCATGACCGGGCGCTGTGGCTCACGCCTGTAATCCCAGCACTTTGGGAGGCTGAGGCGGGCGGATCACAAGATCAGGAAATCGAAACCATCCTGGCTAACACGGTGAAACCCCGTCTCTACTAAAAATACAAAAAATTAGCCAGGTGTGGTGGCGGGCGCCTGTAGTCCCAGCTACTCGGGAGGCTGAGACAGGAGAATGGCGTGAACCCAGGAGGCGGAGCTTGCAGTGAGCCTAGATCGCGCCCCTGCACTACAGCCTGGGGGACAGAGCAAGACTCTGTCTCAAGAAAAAAAAAGAAGTAGATTTCCATTTTTCAAACACTAGAGTGGGCTATGTGTTCTGAAATGGAATGGAAATATGGAGGAAATGATGTGATCAGAGTTCTTGATGCTCCACTCTTCTGGGGAAGGTGAGCTCAGGGAAGCCTAGTGTTAGGCAGTGAGCGTATGAGTAGGGAAGAGTCATGCTAGCTCACTAGTTCCGGTTCCTCTCGGGGAAAGCAGCTGCTATCATTCAGAGCTGCGTCTAGCCTTTGCCTGCATCGCAATATAGAAAAACTTCTTAAAATATATAGGGTCATAACTTTCAGTCAGAACGAAATAGTGTACCCATTTTTCCCTGTTCTTCCCTGTTAAGCACAACTATAAAGCAGAAGAAACACCTAACAATGCTGTTAGCTATTGATCATTGATCAGGAAGCCCTTGAAACTACTGCCCCAGTCTTTCAATAGGTTTTACCATCCAGCATTGACTATTTCAGACTTGACTGTATCTATTGCTTGGGACACATTTGTATTGACACTGAGTATAACAGCAGGTAAAATTTCAGAAAAATTTAAATAGGTCTCTTTTTTTCTTCCCTATCTTTCTGTCTTCTCTCTTTTTATTCATTCTCATTTCATGATGTCCAAGTTATATAACACTGATGCTACTGAGGAGAAAGCCTAAAGATTACTACTGTCTTTATTAGAATGGAGAGGATCCATTACCTTCATATGGTACCAGTCACCATACTTTTTTTTTTTTTTTGAGACAGAGTCTCGCTCTGTCTCCCAGGCTGGAGTGCAGTGGCGCTATCTCGGCTCACTGCAAGCTCCGCCTCCGGAGTTCACGCCATTCTCCTGCCTCAGCCTCCCAGTAGCTGGGACTACAGGCGCCCGCCACCACGCC